>NC_000003.12:116432846-116735877 GCF_000001405.40 Homo sapiens
GATCAGTGCATCATATTAGTGCCAAAAGAGATAGAACAGAGGTCAGAAAGAGAGACAAAGAAAAAAATCCATTCTCCTGCTAAGTTAATGATTCAGCAATATAGAATGCTGATCTTTAGATATGCTTATACAATTACATCATGAACTTGTATAAGGTGACAGCGATCTTTAGTTATCTCAAAACAAACACCAGCTACAAATTGGCAACCATATGTGGCTTACGTCTCACAAAATGAACAGCCCTAACACACATATGCTAGAGTGAGGTGTGTGTAATGACACAAAACAATCAGAAGTCAGGAAACAAATTATGTTCCCCAGTCATTGTTTTCACATGTAGATACTTACTATGCATGACTTAGTGTTAGGCTGCATCACTTTATTTTTTTAATATTTTGTTTCTAGTAGGATAGGGTGGCAAATAGTAGCATAACTAAAGTACAACTTTAGAAAGGATAGAATTAATTTTAGACAAATTATAGAGATTCAATATAGAGATGCATCATTAGACAATTACAATAGAATAAACAGTAATGCATTATTTTATGGAAAGCTAGGTTGCATTTTTCCTCATGGTTATTGGTTTCCCTCCTATCTCACATAAATAATACCCTTGTACATTAGGGAAAGATATACAGAAGGAAATTTGGGATTATTGCAAACTCCACTGAACATTCCAGCGTTAATTTTTCCAGGAATGTGTAATGAGCTCTAAGATGCAATGCCCAGGTAAGCATCACTATCAGTATGAATAACCAGTTTTAGTCAAATAAATGTAAGTGATATGCACATTGCCTCATTTCAAAAGAAACTAGAATGGATCGGTGGAGATGAATATACCTGTTGCACACAATCCTGCTATTTAAGTAACTCCCAAATCCCCTATTTAATCCCTGAAAATTCACAGTCACCCCTAGAGGGAGAAAGCCACCTAGCTCTCCAGGAAGGTAGATTCCTTCTTCTCAGAGCTACCCAGGATACTGACCTCTTCACAGATATCTCACTTCAGGGCCATTGAGTGATTCCTTGTTCTGTCAGAAACTACTATTTTACCTAAGAAAGGGGCATGCTTTGTCTAGGTCCCTATGTCTGTAACTCTGAAGCTTTGGGATCCTTCCCAAAATACCCCCATTTGCCCTTCTCATTTTCCAAAAAAATAAAATTCCTGAAAAGAATAACTGCAATGGGAAATATTGAAGGTATTTCTAACCAAATCTCTTTACCGTACCAATAATCAGAGAATTATCTATCTCTGATTTTATGACTAGACCCTCTTCAACCCCACATCCACAATTACTCCAGTGGTGGCTGACTTCACCAAAATATCTTCCTTCAGTCTGATCTTCTTCTAATGTGTTTCCTCTTTTATAAATCAACTTTAGTCAGCTTGATTTATAGTACAACCATCTTTCTCTGTTCAATTCAGTAGGCAAATATTTATTTGAGCATCCACGGGTACTGAGCTAAATTCTGGGATGAAAAGGTAAAGCAAATGAAATGCCTATATTTCAGGCAAGACACAAGTAAACAAGATGTTTTTAAGACATGTAGTAAATGCAAAGTTTAAAGTATTCAGAGAGGCTAGTGGTGATAATAAACAGGATACTTAGCTTAGCTTGGGACAATTTAGGAGGATTTCCTGAATGCGCCAGAACTGAGACTTAAGTCTTGAAGGAGGAGCAAAGAGGTAACTAGTAAAGATGTTTGGTGGAGTGAGGGGTAGAAGGAGAAGGAGTCTTGCTCTGTTGCTAGACTGGAGTGCAGTGGCGCGATCTCGGCTCACTGAAACTCTGCCTCCCAGGTTCAAGCCATTCTCCTGCCTCGGCCTCTGAGTAGCTAGGGCTACAGGCGTGCACCACCAGGCCCAGCCAATTTTTGTATTTTTAGTAGAGACAGGGTGCCACCACATTGGCCAGGATGGTCTCGATCTCTTGACCTTGTGATCCGCCAGCCTCAGCCTCCCAAAGTGTTGGGATTACAGCGTGAGCCACTGCGCTCGGCCGGGGCTTTGACTTTATGCTGTGGATGTTCTTTGAAGGATCGAGTGACATTTTTAGATGAATACTGGAAAACAACAGGCCTTGCATAGGTCATCTCAGGTCCTTCATTCTGCCAACTCCATGAAGTCTGGAAGTTCTAAGTAGACTGAAGATGTGATCTGGTAAACTTAACCAAAGCAGGAAGAAGCACTAGTTCAGTTCTTACTTAATGTCAGACCTTTGTCTCCATCTTTTCCCCACAGAGCTAGACCAGGTTTTATGATCTGAGATTATACAGTAAGAGTTTTAAAAGATAGAGCTCCGTGCTCTGAGATTAACCTTCAAGTCATCCCTGGGTTACTATAGCTTTGGTACAGAGCTTCAGCTCTAAAAACTGGGACCCTCTCTTTTACTCCTTAACTAGGTTACCCATCTTGGTAATGTGCTCAGGTCTAAGTCCCTAATTCCTGAGGACTCAAGTTCAAGTCAGCTCTTGTCCCAAGGACTCTGTTCCTTTCCTGAACTCCTGGGGCTTGTAACTGAGTCTTCACCATCAGCTGATAACCTCCGTGTCACCCCTGCCTGCCTCCCTATGGGACTACCTAGGGGGTGCTGGCCTGTTATTTCTCCTTATTCTGCTTTGTCCTTCTCTTGATAAGACCTTGTTGGATATCTCTGCCTCCACCTCTCACTCTCACTGCTCAGAAAACCTCAAGAGATCTTGTCCTGCGTGCCACACCAGAAACCACTAGACACCTGCAAAAGGGCTTTTTGCACACTGTCTTCACCACTCAGGAGCCAGAGCTGGATCTATACCCAGTTCCTCCCAATTGGCCACCATCAGCTTCATTGTTAGCCCAAGGTAAATTTTGTATCTATTGGGGGAAAAAAGTTCTGCCTTCCTCAAAGGATCTTAAATAATAAATCTACAAGGACTATAATGAGTAGAGAACCTCTTGAGGGTGTTCAAAGAATATCTACATCCATCCTAATCAGGGTCCCTCTGAGAGGGACAGTGGTAGGAAACTTAACCAGGCAGAAGTTCATAAATAACAATAAGAAGGCAGCAGGTTTAGAAACTCGGCTGTAGTAAATGGGAGAAAGGGTCAAATTCAGATGAGAAGACTGAGTAACAGGCAGAGGTACCAGAAAAAAAGAGGAAAAGAATTTTCTTAAAAGGGGGCCGGGGTTGTGAGGAACAAGTGATCCTTATAGAGGTTCTACCAAATGCAAAAACAGCTTTGGGAATGATCGTTGACAAAGCAAACAAAAACGTAAAGTGGGGAAAGGACACCCTTTTCAGCAAATGGTCCTGGGATAACTGGCTAGAATGAAACTGGATCTTCATCTCTCAACTTATACAAAAATCAACTCAAGATGGATTAAGGACTTAAACTTAAGACCTGAAGCTACAAAAATTCTAGAAGGTGACATTGGAAAAACCTTTCCAGACATTGGCTTAGGCAAGGATTTTATGACCCAAAACCCAAAAGCAATTGCAATAAAAACAAAGATAAATAGCTGGGACCTAATTAAGCCAAAGAGCTTTGCACAGCAAAAGGAACAGTCAGCAGAGCAAACAGACAACCCACAGACTGGGAGAAAATCTTCACAATCTATACATCTGACAAAGGACTGATATCTAGAATCTACAGTGACCTCAAACAAATCAGTAAGAAAAAATCCCATCAAAAAGTGGGCTAAGGATGTGAATAGACAATTCTCAAAAGAAGATATACAAATGGCCAACAAACATATGAAAGAATGCTCAACATTACTAATGAAAATCAAAACTACAATGTGATACCACCTTACTCCTCCAAGAATGGCCATACTCAAAGAATCAAAACACAATAGACGCTGGCATGGATGCAGCAATCAGGGAACACTTCTACACTGCTGGTGGGAATGTAAACTAGTACAGCCACTATGGAAAACAGTGTGGAGATTCCTTAAAGAACTAAAACTAGAACTACCATTTGATCCAGCAATCCCATTACTGGATATCTGCCCAGAGGAAAAGAAGTCATTATTCGAAAAAGATACTTGCACACGCATGTTTCATGCATGTTTATAGCAGCACAATTCACAACTGCAAAATTGTGAAGCCAACCCAAATGCCCATTAATCAACAAGTAGATAAAGAAAGTGTGGCATATATATATATGCATATATATATATGTGTATATATATGTGTGTGTATATATATATATGTGTATATATATATATACACACACACAATGGAATACTAAGCCATAAAAAGGAATGAATTAACAGCATTTGCAATGACCTGGATGAGACTGGAGACTATTATTCTAAATGAAGTAACTCAGGAATGTAAAACCAAACATCATATGTTCTCACTGATATGTGGGAGCTAAGCTATGAGGACACAAAGGCATAAGAATGATACAATAGACTTTGGGGACTTGGGGGAAGGGGGGCGAGGAATAAAAGACAACAAATATGGTGCAGTGTATACTGCTCGGGTGATGGGTGCAGCAGGATCTCACAAATCACCACTAAAGAAGTTACTCATGTAAGCAAATACCACCTGTATCCCAATAACTTATGGAAAAAAAAATAATAAAAACCAATAAGCTGGAAGCTGCAAGTGGAGGAAGGAAAACCCATGTGGTACAGACAGATAGTAGACATGTGCAAGATGGGACATTTCCTTGAAACAAATCCTCCTTGACCAGCACTAACTGGATGATCCTCCACAGGTAAATGCAGATTTGATTTACAGGGAGAAGAGAGAGGGAAAAGGGGAGAGGAAGGAGAGAGGAGAAGGGAGGAGAGAAGGCAAGAGGGAAGAATTGGAGGGAGGAGGAAGGGAGAGAAGGGAAGGGGAGAGGAGAGAAAAGGAGAGGAAGGAAGAGGAGAGAAAGACAATTTTAAGGATACATTTATGTATAATAAAAATGGCATTTCATCAGATAAAATGAAAACCAAAAAGGTAATCTCAGTGGTACTGTGAAATGAAAATTAAAATACATGAGTTCTAATTCTCAATTGATCACTCAAGTTTTTGGATAACGAACTAAATTTTTCTCTTCTCAGTTAAAACACTTTAAAATGAGATGGTGGACTGCCTAATCTCCAAGGCCTTTCCTATTCTACATATCTATGAGGTTTTCCTACAGTAATTAACAAAATCTGAAGTAAAGTGTTTTATTTTGTAAAGGTTAATCACACATTAACTGGAGATTAAGTTTTAATTACAGGTAACTACAAAAAAAAAAAAAAAAAGTCTACTTGCCCTGCACTCCTGATAAGAAACTCAACTATATCGTAAGATACTTGTGACTTTAAAGGACTTGAAATGACATAATAAAAACATCGTAGTGCAAATGGCCTGTGTATAGCATAGAAATAAGAATAAAAGGCTTGTTTTCTTACATTTTTAAAATTTTCTAAAAGTTATATCCTGCTGTAAATATATGACTATAGTCTTAAGAGTTTATAGTTTATACCATTATAGAGTTTATACAATACTTTGATACATACAATATCATTTGATCATAAAAATAGCTTGTGTAGTAGGCAAAAATAGTTGTCAGTTATCTTTATTTAATAAATTACAGTATTTCATGCTATTAAGAGGTTGATCTTCTGACTACTTGTTGACCATTTTGAACTTATTACATCCTTTATGAAAAGTCTTTATCTATGACATAGGCTTTTCTATAAGTTTCAACTAAAGAGAAATCACTATATAAAATTGAGATGAATTATACAATTATTTAGCAAATCACATGTTCATATATATAAGTGCACAGAATTTACTGTGCTTGAATATGTTGGCACAGAAGCCAGTTTCCTTGTCTAAATATTGTCTGTTTTCTCCCTTAGTGATAGCATTAGAAGCAACAACAAAAACAACTTAGAACAGTTCTGTACCTTGTCTAACCCAAATGAGAGACAGCACAGAATAATAAGCTTTATGTTATTTCCATAGACGTTATGTAAATCTGATCCATATTAAATAAAGTCACCCCATTTTCCATGGCTCATAAGGATGAAATTGTGTAACAAACAAATGGGTTTATGGTGGTCTATTTCCTCTCTCCCGTTTGAATTTGTTCATCTTTGGCTACTGATATATTTCTCAAACGATACAATGTGACTCCAATTTTTTTACTGATATCTATTTAGTGCTGCCCTGAAAGTGATCTGTAAAGGAGACTCCTTATCCAGTTAGGCATTGGTTTTTACCTCTATGTACATAGCAGAATCATTAAAAAACAAAAGAACGACAACCTGTGCCCAGTCCCTTCCCCAAACAAACTACATCAGAATTTCTGAGAAGAGAGGATATGTGGCAGCAGTATTTTTTAGAAGTTCCCCAGCTGATGGTACTGTGCTCCCGTGGCTGTGAAGTATCGAATGCAGTGCTTCTCCAACCTCAATATGCTAGCGAATCGCTTGGAAGTCTTATTAAAATGTGGACTTTGATTTAGTCCCTCCAGCATAGGTCCTGAGATTTTGTTGTTTTTTTTTTTTAATGCAACTATGTGATACTTAAGATGCCCACCTGTGGATCACACTTGTAGTATCCTGTAGTATCAGCATCACCTGAGAACTTGTGAGAAATGCAAATTCTCAGACTTACCAGGGACCTACTGACTCAAAAACTCTAGCGATGGAGGTCAAGCAATCTGCTATAGCAAGCCCTCCACATACACACTGAAATTTGAGACACACTGGCCTAAAAAAAAAGAAAAAAGAAAAAAGAATTCTCTGAAGTCTAAATAACTGGCTGTATGTGGTTGAAAAGCCGTTGATTGTTTACATTTGTGTAGCACTTTATAATTCAACAAACTTCTACCTTACCTCCTGTGAACGTCTTAAAACAACCCTGTAGGGTAACTAAAATAGATAGTTTCAGCATTTTTATTTATTTATTTATTTTTGAGACGGAGTCTCGCTCTGTCGCCAGGCTGGAGCGCAGTGGCGCGATCTTGGCTCACTGCAACCTCCGCCTCACGGGTTCAAGCGATTCTCCTTTCTCAGTCTCCTAAGCAGCTGGGACTACAGGTGGGCGCCACCACGCCCAGCTAGTTTTTGTATTTTTAGTAAAGATGGGGTTTCACCATGTTGGCCAGGATGATCTCAATCTCTTGACCTTGTGATCCCCCCGCCTCAGCCTCCCAAAGTGCTGGGATTACAGGCGTGAGCCACCGCACCCAGCTGACAGTTTCAGCATTTTGTAAAGGAAAATGAAGCTCAAAGTATTCAAGAGACTTGCTTAAAGTTACAGCATGCAAGGATAGATCCAAATTCAGAGCCCAGATCTTCTGAGTCGTACAAACTAAGAGGTAGGACATTGAGAGAAAAACAGGGCCAGTGGCTATAAGCTGTAAATTATGCCCTGGAGGAGGGATATCTCTGAGGCTCAGATGATGACAGGGAGAGGGACAAGGATATTGAGGCAACCTCCTATCAGGGGAGTCACAGCCCTTTGTATTTGGCACTCTCAGAGACCAGGGTAAAATGCACTAATCCTTTTTGGGCAGAGTTTGCTGTTATGTGGAATCAGCTTTGAGAAACACAAAGGTTTAACCCTCACCAGTGACTCAGTGGATGAGTCAGTCACCTTTGGTTCTTTCCACAATTCTACAAATACGTCATTCTAAGTCAAACCACATAAAATAAAAATCTCCTGTGTATTGTATGTGTGTATAAACCCACTTATATGTCCCATACTTACAGAAACACAGGTGGCCACAATTTGCTTTTCTTGCGAGATTTGCCCACTCTGTTTCTCAGGCCATAAATGACAACAAATGATAAAGCTCACAGGTACATAAATATTCTTTAACAAAATGTATATAATATGCCATATTCCTAGATGATATATAGTATGCTATACTCCATCATTTACTAAGTATATTTGATAAAGGATTTATCTGCAATGCACGATCCTTACAGTATCAGGGCTAACCAACAAATTTTGATAACATTTAGTGATTTAACTACAGAAAAAGAAAATTTCATGATGGTCACAAACTTACCCAGTAGGCCCATGCCCACAGTTTGTTTCAAATAGTGAATTGTAAGTCATAGAAAATCACATATCGTATCAAGAATTTGAGGGTTGACACTTCATTAGTGAATATTGCCATTCCACATGATTTACAGAAGATAAACAGAAATTTGAACAAGATCTTTATATTTCACTATCAAATAATCAAATCTCCTTTTGTTGTTTCTTCTTTTCCCCCCTTGGTGTAGAAACAAACAGGGAATTAAAGACCCCAACTTTGAAAAAACTAAACATTAGCTATTCTTCATTTAGATACTTAGTTTCCTTGGGAATCTGTAATACTTGTTAGGTACGCTAACATTTAACTGGGAACAATGTTATTATCATTAAAAGTATTATAATATCCTGTAAACATCAGATAGGGTCAGAATTGTGAGCTAAATAAAATTTTATTACCTTGAATTTAGAATATTTAAAATCACAAGTGTGAAGTCCCTGTATTTTATCACATGCCTACTTGTTTTATATCCAGATACGCATGTGTATGTACGTTTTACAAAGTTGCCTTATGAATAGATATGTGATAATATAATGTATTATAAAACTAACATGGTTCTTTGTGGCCAAATATTTTATTATTATCTTTTCAGAAATCTGCCACTCATGTTGAAAATATGGTCAGTAGGACTATTAAAAATGAAATTTTAAAGGTTGGTTTGAAATACCCTCTATTTCTGCTATTCTTTGACTTGTAAGAGAACTATTAATACATAGTCTCAACCTTCCAATATTAAGCAGGAGGTGAATCTCTATGGGTATGAGGGTAGGAGGGAAGAAACAGTGTTAGAAACTTATCCTGTAATTGAACTCTTACTCCTGTGGGAGCTGGTAATGAGGCAGGTAGACTCTGTTTAGAAAAGCACCTGAGGCAGCTTCATGACTGAAGTCCTGCGGATAAGCGTGTCTCACTCTTTCCTGTACACACAAATATAAATGCAGATTCTGGTTGTTCTATTTAGGGAGGACCGCCAAGGCTGCTGCTGCTGCCGCCACTACTCTGTGAATCACACTTTGATTCTTTGTCCCTGGGACAGAAGTTGGTATTGTGGTTATCTTTAGTTCTTTATATAATTTCTCACACAGGTCTGTAATCTCCTCTAGAAAATAATTGAGTTAGGTATGTATACATGAAGCTACCTCTCTTTCCCTCCAATTTTGTCACCATAATTATATAGTTTTTATTATTTTCAAAATGATAGAAATTGAGGGCAAGACCTGAAGCCTAGTGTGCACTCTCCTATCTGATGCATAATTACACTAAAGATCATAATTATACAAAAATGAGCATCAATCCCCAAAAGAAACTCTTGTTTCACAGAAAACTTTAAGTCAGTGAAGGTAAATGTTTTGGGGACAGACAGCCAAACTCCTGTCACTGGATTACCAGAATTACAAACCTCCCTTGTCTCCTGTTGCCATCTCATATCATTCGGGGCCACAAACTCACTAAGAGAATTATTTTTTTCTCCTAGCCATTTCACTTTCTCGGTGCCAGACATCTACTGTGGCTTCCAATGAATCAAGTTCTCCTTCCTTTCCTTCCCTGAAAGCTCATGCACCCAGTAAAATGTCACAAATAAAGTGAAAACACACCTTTCCCAGGCTGGCCTTATAAGCAGAAAGCAAGAGCACCATTCTTCACCAGGAAACTGACCCAGAAAGCTTACCGGTTTTAAAGAGATTGAGAAGAAGGTCAGCTAAGAAGACAAAGGGAATTCTCTCCATAGTTAATTCTGATGAAGCTCCACCAACCCCAAAATAAACCCTTGTCCAAGGCAAGGAAATAAAAAAGAGGGCATGTAAGGTGAGGTCTGGAAAAGAAATGGTGTTTCATAGGCGACTTATTTGCATGCTCTGTTTGTCTGTCTTTTCTTTCCCAGAGAATAAGTGGTTCTGTGTTTATTTTTTCTCTCAGAGTCCCTATTTCCACACTGTAATGTCTGCTAAAGCGTAATGTTTAAAACTCTGTTTCTATTGCGCCATAGACATACAAAAGCACATATGTATCATCCATAGATATGTATACAGTGAGACTGCCTCTGTATGAAAGCATAAGAATGTTTTTATTCTTCTGAATTAACATTTCTATACTTATCTAACTCTTAGACAACTGTAGTTTAAGGTATAGGAGATGCTAACTTAGAAAGACCTTACAAAGCTCAAGGACACTGAAATAAAAAACATATACATTCAAGTTATTCATTTTTCTCATATTCAATCTTGTAACCAGTGAACAAAATTTCTAGGGATAGCATATATTTATATAGAGTGCTTCACCATTAAAGGGTTAATGATGTTAGGGAGTATGAATGTTAGCAATTGAAATGGCATGCTTGTGTGTTTGCAAAAACATTTTCTGCACCATGTCCAAATTCCTTTGCAAACAGATAAATTACTCTGTAAATCTGATTACTCCATGTGGATAAATCACACATGCAGGTTTATAAGGCTGAAGAGCTAGAAGGGAAAATCTGCTTTGGATAGTAGGATCTTTGGGATTCGTAATCACCCAAAGCTCAGGAAATGAAGAAAGGAGTGCTTACACATTAGCATTTTCTTACTTTTTACAATCTGGAGAAACACATACCCACACAACACACACACATGCAATGCACGGCACACAACACACACTTTCGTCTCTAACAAGGCTAGAGCTCCCAAAGCAGGACACTGTGACAGCCAACCAAATTTATTTCTGAGAAAAGGAAAGAAAACTTTGCTGCTGTCGGCAGCTCTGCTAGAGAACTGCTCCCTGATGCCCCAGGGTTTATGCACTATCAGCTCCTTGCACACAGATTAGAGGTTTATTTTCTATTGTATACTGTGTTTTTATTGCCACAACAAGCAATATTACCTAGATAGACAGACTGACACTGGGTCATTTTATTTGGAGGAAATGAGATTTTTAAAAGATCTCCAAGGAGAGTGATTCTTTCTTTTTGTTAGCATCTGCCAGAAATTCAAGGAAAGCTAGAAAAAAGAACAAGGGGTAGGTACAGTTGGTGGAGAGGAGGAAGAGAAAAGAGAAGCACAAAAAATAACCTTGGAGCATTTTAGAAATAAAAATATGACTAGGTCTCATTTGAGTCTCTCTAGCTCACAGTACCTGATAGGGGTCAAACTCCCAAGGACTTGGGACTCTTCTTTCCAAATTTCAATCTCAAATTATTTTAGAGTTTGCCAGAGCTGCACAGAAAAAAAGACTTTGAAGTCAATAATCAATTTGAAATATCCATTTTATGCCAGGTTAATTCTCTCCCAACCTCTGTGTTTAACACTCCTACTCTTAAATATCAGCAATTTGGCAAATTCCTTTTCTTTCTGCTCTTCATATCTTGTGTTGATTTATATCCACATTCCAGGAAAGGCTCAGTAACCAACCAAAGTTCTAAGATTGATTTATTGCCCTCCATGTCAATTAGAAGATCCTTACAGAAAGTCTTCTATCAGAAACCCTCACACACAACCTTGATATGTGTGTGTGTGTGTGTATGTGTGTGTGTGTGTTGGCATGAAAAACACACACACACACACACAGACACGGGAGGAGCAAGGAGAATGCAGTACTGTGTACTACTCTCTGAGAGCCATAATCCAACAACCTTTCTTTCAGAATTAAGGACCCCCAACAAAACTCTCAAGTGCAATGCCACAGCAATTACAATAGTGAGAATACTGCCCAGAAGTCACTAATGCCATGGGTGAAGTTAGGCTTCCTTGATAAGAGAAACAAGGTCCTAAGAACCGAACAACATTTAACCAACACCACTGCTGCTTGACAGGGACCAGAATTCCCTTGAATTTTGTTAGCTATAATGCCAACCAGTCAGTAAAACAGGGACACACACACACACACCACACACACACACACCACAAGCCTGCAGCATCAGGAGCTGGAGTTCAAGGAGATCAGACACACACACACACACACACACAAACACACACACACACACACACACACGTGTAGACGCGCGCAGCAGAAAAGTTGCCCGAAAGCCCTACCTGAGGATGGCTGTGTCCCCCTGCCTCACGGTGATGTTGTCCGTGCCTCGGTTAAAATCCACGCTGCGAACAGGCAGTCCTGTGGGAAGAAGGCAGAGCAATCTCAGTAGGACCAGTGGCAACTGTTTCCGATCCGGCTGAACTCTCCTGACCATGGTGGCCACGCCGAGGTGCGGGTCCGCGGGGTGCTCTGGAGGGGTGCGCGCTGCTCGCGAGGAGAGGCTTCACCAACACGGGGCTTTCATCCACAGCGAGCGCAGAGCGGGCTTTGCCAGTTTATGGTCCTTTCCACTTTGCCTCTCTCTTTCCCTCGCTCAGTCTCTTTTCCCTCTAAGACTTAACAAAGCCCTCATAAAACCCAAGCAGAAGGGTGAAAAGTAAAAGCAACACAATTTCAAAAGAGAGAGTGCAAATAGCAAGCCCTCTGGAAGAGCTGAAGAGGAAGCCAAAGGAAAGGGTTCTTGTTTGGTCTCTCTGTGACTGGATGCTCCTCTGCCAGTGTCTGAGCTGAGCTCCTTCGCTCTGTAACCCACTTTCCCAGGCTGGCGGGCGGGCGGGCGAGGGAGCCGGCACCAAGCCTGCCAGTGAGTGTACAGAAACAGCCACACAGCAGCAGCAGCAGCAGAAGCAGCAGCAACCCAGAGCCTCTCTCCCCCTCCTCCCTTTCCTGTTTCTCCCAGTCCCTGGCGCTCTCTCAGCTCAGCACCTCCCCCCCACCCCCCCACCCTCCCCCCACCCTGCTGGTTTTCAACAGCCCCTCCACGTCATCCCCTCCGCCCTCCCCTCGACGTGGCCCCTCGCTTTGCACAACTGCCCCCTTCAGCAGCAGCCAGCCTCAATGAAAGCCTGATGCGCCTTTGGGTTGTCAGGACGACAGCTCCATCTGAGGCCTGGCTGATTTCCTTAAGAAGGGGGAACGGAGCTTAGAGGTACTGTTCAGGAGAGAGGGGAGAAGGAGAGGGACTTAAGTTATAAAAGAACAGGAGAAAGAGTCCAGGAAAGGAGAGGGAAGGGGTGAGGAAAGAAGAAAAAGGAGGTGGGAAGGAGAGTTGCAAATGAGGGGAGTGGGACAGAGGACAGGAAAGCTTTGAGGTGGGGAGTGAGGGTGGGGAATGTCCTGAAAGATGGGAGAAGGAAACTGAGGAGAAACTTGACAGTGGAGTCTAAGATTAAAAGCCAAAGTTGATTTCAAACGAAACATTCTTGGCAACTGGCTTTGCGTGTTCAAGTCTTGTTCATTCTTTCCTCTTTCCTGCACTTTCTCTTACAGGATTAAAATGGTTTATTTTCTCTCCTTCCTTCATCCCCTCCCCCTCTTGGAACCCCTTTATGAAAGATGGATTGGAGACAATGCTGGTATTGAGTGGTCTGGGGTGTGAATGCTTGGCTTGTTTTTTCCAAGTGCCAGCCTCAGCAGCTGATCCCTGATCCCTAAATCAACTTCACTCTCCAGGAAACTCTCACTCAATCCTACACATGAGTAATGGTATTAAGGATTACTATTTAAAGGGCACATTGAATTGCTACCCAAGTTCCTCCTGGCACTTACTTCTCAAAATGTTCATATGCAAGGAAGGAGATTTGTAAATCAGAAAGCTTGTCATTTGCAAGGAGACACTAAGTAAGGTTGTGTGCAGTACTCCTGCTAATGGCAGACAGGTTACCATCATTTGTCACTCCTTTTATTCCATGAGCCAAGCAAGTGATGAGGACCATAAAGACCACTGATAGTCACTCAAGTGACAGCCCCACACTCTTGGACATCTCCCTCATTACTGATGTTGAGGATAAAAAATGTGTTTGTACCAGCCAAGGACTTTATTTTTCTCTTCTTTGATTATATTTATTTAAATAATGAAAGTATTCATATGGTACAAAAACCAAATGGTACAAGATGCTATAGAGTGAATTGCAGTTTTCTTCTTCTTTTTTTTTTTTTTTTTTTTTTTGAGACAGAGTCTCACTTTATTGCCCAGGCTGGAGTGCAGTGGCTCAATCTCGGCTCACTGCAAGCTCCGCCTCCCGGGTTCACGCCATTCTCCTGCCTCAGCCTCCCGAGTAGCTGGGACTACAGGCGCCCGCTACCACGCCTAATTTTTTCTGTATTTTTTTTAGTAGAGACGGGTTTTCACTGTGTCAGCCAGGATGGTCTCGATCTCCTGATCTCGTGATCCACCCGCCTCGTCCTCCCAAACTGCTGGGATCCCAAACTGCTGGGATTACAGGCGTGAGCCACGGCGCCCGGCCGTAGTTTTCTTCTTATTCCCGTCTTTAGGCAACCCATTTCTCTTTTTTGGAGGCAACATATATTTTAAGTTTGTTATATATCTTTCCATAAATATTCCATATATATAAAAATAAATATGTACATAGATATTATACCCATCCCTCTTATGTAAGCAAATGTTTAGCCTAGGACATTTGCCAAAAATAAAATAAAAAGAAAGAAAGAAACATGTTTAGGAATCCTTATCAAACCCCACCAGAGCACAAGCCTTAAAGAAACACTGTGCTGAAACTGGCTTGTCCTCAGAATACTCAAAGCACTTTTTCTGCGCATGTTTTCAGTTTAAAAGATAGATGAACTCTTACAGATTACGTGAGGAAAAAAAGGAAGACCTATTTTGCTTTTAAGAAAACACGGAGGATTGGAACCTGAATTGTCACAAATCCATGATTGATGGAGTTCAATTAATTTTATGTGTACTGTGCATTCATTTTATATAAATCAAGGTGTCCTATGTCAGGGATTATACACAGTGCCCAGTTAATAAACCAATGTTCGACCACTAAGTTATAACTCAGCTGTTTAAAACTTGGAATCCATTTTGCCATAGGAGAAATAGTTAGGCCAAGTGGATAGTTGACTAAAAAACTCATAATCCTGTGAATCCCGGTATCAATGGACAAATGAGCTTCAAGTGCCAAACAAACAAACAAACAAACAAACGAAGATCAAAGATGCAAGGATTACATAATTTTCTGCCAAGATTGCAGAGAAAAGAGCACCCTCCCTTTCCCCACACCACCAACAGACTTGACCATCCTTGTCAGGCTAATTTTTTTGTTTGTTTGTTTTGTTTTTTGTTTTTTGTTTGTTTGTTTGTTTTTTGTTTTTTTTTTTTATACTTTAAGTTTTAGGGTACATGTGCACATTGTGCAGGTTAGTTACATATGTAAACATGTGCCATGCTGGTGCGCTGCACCCACTAACTCGTCATCTAGCATTAGGTATATCTCCCAATGCTATCCCTCCCCCCTCCCCACACCCCACCACAGTCCCCAGAGTGTGATATTCCCCTTCCTGTGTCCATGTGATCTCATTGTTCAATTCCCACCTATGAGTGAGAATATGCGGTGTTTGGTTTTTTCTTCTTGCGATAGTTTACTGAGAATGATGATTTTAAGCACTTAGGAATGAAGAGTTGGCTTAGACAAAGGCTTCGATTAACATATATCCTTTGGTTTGGTGCTTCTTCCATGTCAAGTGGAAGAAAAGAGAGATAAAAGGGACTGGTAGCTATGAGAATCATCTGTTTCCATTGCTGGTGCTAGGTGAATAGTATGACCCCCAGTAAGAGCAGAGATACTCTGAGGGGAAGGATTAGACATTTAAAGAGTATAAGTATTCTCCTGTGTCAGTCAACTAGATTTTGTATGAAGAAAGGAAAGTTTTTTTCAGGACAAGGAGGAAGTATGGTGGCTGGTAGCATATCATAAACAGAAGATGTTTATACATGATTGTTAGCTAATACCTATACTGGTAACCTCATACTACCAGAAGAACTTGCCTGGTGGTGCTTGGAGAAAACATATGTTTAACATACTGTAATATGAAGTAATTTACATCAAAGTAGTAGGAATGTGGAATTTGTAGTAACTCAATCAAATCTGGAATTTGTCTCTACATTCACTCTGAGAAATGGATATATTAAAGTAAATCTGGATTGTAATCAGAATTATAGAATTGCCTAACCTACCTAATCAGAAACAAATTATAAACACATATGTGTATAAAAATCATATAATGTAATTAAAGGTTTTTAAAAATATCTTTATTAAATAAAGTCCATTTCTTGGCAGCTTTTGTTAAACTAAATTGACTTACTATGATGACTGAAAGTAAGATGCAATTTTTTAAAAAGACAATATTTTAAAAATTCCCTAATTTAGGCTGTTTAGAAATTATTTCTAATTCAATTAGACTGAATCAACAATTTCAAAATTACAAAGTTTGTTTTATTCATTTAAAATTTATTATTTACATCCAGGTAGCACTTCAAGTACAACTCTTTAACCCAGCCCTTGGCCCAGAGGGAGTACTTTATACTTGATAAATATAAGAACGGAAGAGTGATTAAATGCTTATGCTCACTTACTTGGCTTACCTCACCATTTACAAAATAATAAAAGTATTTGAGGGTGTACCATCTACTTCCATTTCAATATTATGCTTTCTCAGAGTTCTTCCTCTTTTCACTTACTGATAGAAATCTTCTGGTATTTTTTCCTCCATTATCTCTCGTTTCCTAAGAAATCCAACAGTCAATATACATTGGATAATGTATCTCATCCTAGTGGTCACTCCCCTAAATCTACCCTGATATTAACTTCTCTGCTTTCTTTCTTCGGAAATGTAGAGAAGGAAACAAATAAACGTGTGGCTGAAATTTACACAAGCTATTTTTTTGTAAACCACTATATACATTTTTCCAAGAGGGTTGGCAAAAATGAACATACTTTCAGGTTATTTGTGAGGCAAGTGTGGCTGTTAGCCATGTGAAACAGCCATCATCACCCAAGTAAGATGATCTTAACTACTACTTTAAAATAACATACTGCCTTTCTAAAAGAGGCTTTAGAAGATTCTGGCACTCTTCAGGGACAAATGTTGCAGGAAAAACAAAAACTGCCTAACGTCTGAGTACCCTAAGAAGCATGAAAGGTTTATTCTTCTGTTTAGCTTTGTAAGGTAATAGGCTCACATGAAATCCAGATGCAGCCTGGAATGTGCAACTAATTTAGCAACACTGCTTGCATTTTATGCTAAACATGTCTATAATATTAATATACTACTCTACATTTCTACAGTTGTAAGGTCTTAATCATAATAACACCATGCCTGTACCTTACTTTTCTAAGTGGAATTAACATTTCCATATGAACTAGAAATGCAGAATTGCTAATACTTTTCCTTAGGATCCGTGGTATGACATTTTCAATGATTTCATCATAATTTAGCAATATTCAAGTAACCCAGTTTATGCTTATAAACATAGCACTATCTTATATGAGTTTTCTCTGGAATCTAGGCCTTCCAATACAGACACTTCATTGGCATGTGTGTCACTGCCTAAGAAAATCAGTCAGCTGCAAGTCAGTTAAATATTGTCCAAATCTTTACTATAGACCCCCTCCCCCAGTGATGTAAAACACGTGGTCCACATCCTACACAATTAAAAAATCACTCTTTGGTTTGCATTTAGTGCATGTCTTTGTGGTTTATTATTATCATATCAGTCTTTTGCTTCTAAGTAAGTATACTTTGGTCACTTGTTCTATTTTGGTAGGCATCAATGCTTGGATCTGTCCCAGTTTTTGAAAGGGCTTTGGGATTCTTAAACTGCTGCCTGCATCCTCACTTCTTGCTTCTGCTCCTGATTATGCATAAACATATATGTGCTTACACTTACTGATGCATTTGCACATCAGAAAAGTAATTTTCATGTGCCTTATTATTTCCCAGAAGTATATACACCAGCCCTTGGACCTTCCTCTTTTCTAGGTTGTCCACTCTGCCACCATGTACAAGGAGGTGGAAATAGCTAAAAACTGCTGCATCTGCATTGCTACTACGCTTTTTGATCTACCCCCCAGATACGGGAAGAATATTGCAACATCTGGAAAGATGACAGTAATGGCATCTTCAGTATAGCAACATGTTAGTATAAGCAGGTAATCAGGAAATTCTACCCCCTATTTGTGGTTGTTGTAGTAACTTGAATTCCTACAATCTGAAAATAGACCAAGGAGAACTGAGGAATAGTGGAGGTGGGTGTACAATTCCATATTCTGACATGCCCAATAGGTTTGTAATTCATTCGTTTGATCAATATGCTTTTATTGATACAGTAGTGAATCAAGACAGGCCAAGACTCTCCTCTGTTGAACTTGTATCCCAGATGCAGAAATGAACACTATACAAGTACACACAGATTAAGATTATTTCAGAAAGCAAATGCTATTAAAGAAAAATGTGTGATACAGAGTAAATGGCCTGGAGATGTGGTGATGGGAACATAAAGAAAAGTGGCCAACCAACACCTCTTTGAAGAGGTTGGTATTTTAACTAAATCCCAAAATCTAAGGAGGCTTCCATGCAAATATCAGCACGAAGGCCTTTCCGGGTAAAAGAAATGGCATTCGCAAAGGCCCTGAGGTAGAACTAAGAGTGTCATACACCAGGAACCAAAACAAAGACAATAAACCTGTGATGTAGTTTGTGTGTATGTTATGAGGGTAGTTGGAAAAGACAAATAAAAATGAGAAAGTAAGGAAGGGTCATAATGAAAACATTCTGTGTAAGAAATTTAGATTTTAGTCTACTGACCTGAATAAGCAAGGGATTGACATAATCTGATTTACATCTTAGAAAGATTGAAGAGTGGACGGTAAAAGAGCAATAGCAGAAGAAAGGAAACAAGCCGAAGAAAATCGTAGTCATCCAGTGGCAACTGGCTTAGACTATGGGGTAAAAATGAGATGGAGAGGAGATTGAGTTGACTAGATTTGCTCATAATGGGGAAATCTTCCCCAAAAGGCCATCTGCTATCACAAGTGATCAATGTTTTCCATATGCCAGCACTCCTCCTCACTGTATTAATTCAATTCTGGTATACTCTTGTAGAAAGCCACCACTCATCAAATCATCAAATAAGAACTGACAGAATGTCAAGTAGGTTGTTATTAATACCAGCTAGTCAAAAAAAGGTGCTCCAGTTGCTGCTTTTCTTTAAGTATAAACTTTGCTTGCCATTAATATGTTTATTGTATGTTAATTAAATATCAGTGTAATAAGCCAGTGTGTTAGAAATTAAGAAGTGCATAACAAGAGGAACAGATGCTATGTAATTATTAAACTTTACTAAATATTTCCTTACATATCTATATTTATCAGGCAATAGCTATCCTGCTAAATCTAAATAAAATGCCTAGTCAAATATCTTGAGGCTATAAGTCATGTAAATAACACTAATATGTTTTCTCCAGAGTTTACTGACAATATCGAGCTGCAGGGCAAGTTCAGTATTAGGTCATTATATTATTCAAAGGGTCCCAGAAGTCGACCTGCTTAAAAGTATCTTCCTTTCTTATCTTGTCTGTAATTCACATTCTCACATGCTTTTAATATTGAGTCTAAGAGCATTGCCTGGATGAGAGGAAGAGGATTCACAAAACCTGCCAAATCAGTTGTGTTGCCATATATGAGAAAGTTCATTAAATTAATGAATAATTCTTGAGACCTATCATATAACAGGGACTGTGCTAACCTCTAAGGAAACAATGATGTACAAGACTGACCACCCTGCCCTTCTGCAAGTCTAATGGGGAAATGGCATTAGAAACTCCTTCCAGAGAGGGATTAAATATTGTCTTTGTAAAATTATAAGGCAGACCTTTCAAACTTGCTCTTCAGTATAGAACAGAGGCAAATGAATCAATGTATATGTCCAGTCTTCTCTTTGATGCTGATTAGTACTGAAAATACCAAAATTCAGAGTTCTCATTTTCAGGAACCCAGAAACTCATGAGATAGAGCAATAAGACGAACACACATGAAGCACAGAATAAGATTCATCAGTGAATAACTGAGGACTGAATTGTAAGGGAGCAGAATCGAAATGCTATGGGAATTCAGAAAAGGAATCCAGTAAGGGGCTTTGTGGAGAAAATGGCATTTTAGGTTATCGTTGAAAGGTGTGTAAGAAAAGAATGGAGGAAGACAACACTTTAAGCAAAGTATGGCCATGAGAATCAGTCTGCAATAAGAATGGAGCTGCAGGAAGTCTCACCCAACTAACAGAAGGAGAGGAGAGGAGCAAGAAGGTGGGTTAGAGAAGCTGCCTAATGAAGAATCCTGAATGCCTGAATGAAGAGTCACGCTTCATCTCATAGTTAGAAGGCCACTTTAGATTCTGGAGGAGGGAGGAGAGATACTGACATCTTAGGGAGCTTATTTTGGCAACGGGAAATTAAAAAGTAGAACAAAGATGAAGTAGAATTACTAGTTAGAAGGCTAATAAAGTTGCTGATGAAATGATGAGAGGCAAACTTTATCAATTATATATACTGTTGCTTCCTATTAATGATGAGGAATGAAATCCTTCATTCAGAGACTTCACATTCATGCGGAAGGGCAAGTTGTAGGAAAGTGTATGAGGGTGGAGATGGCAAAAAGTTAAAATGGAAAGTGACTCTGCTTCTGTAAGTTGGGGCTAGTGGGGGTCTTGACAGGCAAGTTAATGAGTTTGGCCTTTATTCTGTATGCAGTATGGAGCCATCAAAAACTTTGAGCAAGGAGTATTTTAAGAAGATAACTGGCAATGGAATGGAAGATAGATTGGGACAAGTCACAGTCAGGGAAGACCAGCTATAAAGTTTCTGAAATAGCACAGGCAAGAAATGAAAAAAGCAGACTACAGGGCAATGGCACTGAAAAGAGAAAAGAGGTGAAAACTTTTAGGGAAATTTCACAGGACTGTTGGGACTTGTCAACTAACTGGATATGGAAGTTGAGGACATAGGAAGGGCAAAAGATGCCTCTCCTTTTCTTTTCTTGAAGTCCAGGTTGATAAAATAGAAATGTTGAGTTAAAAAAAAAAAAAGCTAGATTCAGAGGGAATTTGGAAATTCTACTTTTAGAATTCTGGATTGGTTCCTAAATTGGTACTCAAATAGCCTGCACTTCCAGATGGACAGGCTCAGGAAGTTGTCTTAGGAATATGACATTCTTCACTGGAGAGCTGTCTCTGCATTCTGTAATAAACTAAGACCAGAAATTCAGATTCTTTCCCCCATATTTGTCTGTGTTTTTTTTTTCTTTTTTTTTCTATCACATGTTTCTGTTACTTCAATATATTTATATATACAGCATGTTGGCAAGTGACCTATTTGCCAATAATGAATCTCATTTTGATTTTTAAAAACACATCCATATAACAATTAACTGATTCTATGTTTCAAGAAGAAATATCATCTGAACTTGTCTCCCTCTGCTGGTTGCATATTGAGGTATCATGAATCTTTTTAAACCATAGTAATATTAGAAATAGAAATATCCAATGATAATGTGTTTTGTTCAAGTATAGAGCTTTGCGGTTTGCAAATGTATAGTGACACACATAATTTAATATGGTATCTTCCTGCAACTTTGTGAGATAAACAGTACAAGTATTATCACCCTACTTGTCAGAAAATTACTTTGAGACTTTAAGCCAGTAAATCTCATATGAAATTAGAGGAAAATCAGGAAGCATATGTAATTAGAAGAATTGCATACTGTTAAAGATAGAAAAGACCCAGAAAATTTTCTTGTTCAGTCCTCCGATTTTACAGCTGAGACATGGAAACATAGACTTTACACAGTTATTTAGGATGACTGAGATTAGTACTTAAAAAGCCCAACTCTCAAAACAGTGCCCTTTCTATTATACCATGCTGCCTGCCTAATAATATCAAGATATAAATCCTTTATAGCATAGCTAAAGCATTTACATAGGTAGTCTGGGTTGTAGATTGAAAATGTCTGTTTCTCTGAGGCCAAATCTACATTGCATCAGAACAACCCACAGCTATGTTAAACTTATAATAAAGTAAGAAACAATAGGAAAACAAAACCAAAATAAATGGAATTCACACCAGTTGGACAAATAAGTAAAGCAATCCTCAATTACCTGTTTGAATAGACTACTTGTCTGTCCAGGCTGGGGCTCTATAACCACAGACAAGGCTTGAGATGATATTCAGGAATGCCAGAGTATTATAGACTGTGTTAGTAGAAGAAATGCAGTGAAATTTTCTCACCCTCCCACTGCCTGGGGCACTCTTTTCTTCTTTCCTATATGTCCTACTAGAGAGTCTACTATGGCTTTCTGGCTTTTCACCTGAGTTACTACTCCTTAAAGTTACTCCCATTCTTAATGGATGTCACTATTCTCTCTTGGCAGGAAATAAAGTTTGATTGAAATAATGTATTCTTGTGTGTGAGTGACTGGTAAGTTCCAACGTCTGAAGGGATAGAAATATAATAAAAGGAACATTGGGAGGAGCCAAGATGGCCGAATAGGAACAGCTCCGGTCTACAGCTCCCAGAATGAGCGACGCAGAAGACGGGTGATTTCTACATTTCCATCGGAGGTACCGGGTTCATCTCACTAGGGAGTGCCAGACAGTGGGGGCATGACAGTGGGTGCAGTGCACTGTGTGCCAGCCGAAGCAGGGTGAGGCATTGCCACACTTGGGAAGTGCAAGGGGTCAGGGAGTTCCCTTTCCTGGTCAAGGAAAGGGGTGACAGATGGCACCTGGAAAATCGGGCCACTCCCACCCAAATACTGCACTTTTCCGACGGGCTTAGGAAATGGCGCACCAGGAGATTATATCCCACACCTGGCTCAGAGGGTCCTATGCCCACGGAGTCTCGCTGATTGCTAGCACAGCAGTCTGAGATCAAACTGCAAGGTGGCAGTGAGGCTGGGGGAGGGGTGCCCGCCATTGCCCAGGCTTGCTTAGGTAAACAAAGCAGCCGGGAAGCTCCAACTGGGTGGAGCCCACCACAGCTCAAGGAGGCCTGCCTGCCTCTGTAGGCTCCACCTCTGGGGGCAGGGCACAGACAAACAAAAAGACAGCAGTAACCTCTGCAGACTTAAATATCCCTGTCTGACAGCTTTGAGGAGAGCAGTGGTTCTCCCAGCACGCAGCTAGAGATCTGAGAACGGGCAGACTGCCTCCTCAAGTGGGTCCCTGACCCCTGACCCCTGAGCAGCCTAACTGGGAGGCACCCCCCAGTAGGGGCAGACTGACACCTCACACGGCCGGGTACTCCTCTGAGACAAAACTTCCAGAGGAACGATCAGACAGCAGCATTCACGGATCATGAAAATCCGCGGTTCTGCAGATACCGCTGCTGATACCCAGGCAAACAGGGTCTGGAGTGGACCTCTAGCAAACTCCAACAGACCTGCAGCTGAGGGTCCTGTCTGTTAGAAGGAAAACTAACAAACAGAAAGGACATCCAAACCAAAAACCCAACTGTACATCACCATCATCAAAGACCAAAAGTAGATAAAACCACAAAGATAGGGAAAAAACAGAGCAGAAAAACTGGAAACTCTAAAAAGCAGAGCACCTCTCCTCCTCCAAAGGAACACAGCTCCTCACCATCAATGGAACAAAGCTGGATGGAGAATGACTTTGACGAGTTGAGAGAAGAAGGCTTCAGACGACCAAACTACTCGGAGCTACAGGAGGAAATTCAAACCAAAGGCAAAGAAGTTGAAAACTTTGAAAAAAATTTAGATGAATGTATAACTAGAATAACCAATACAGAGAAGTGCTTAAAGGAGCTGATGGAGCTGAAAGGAGAACTACGTGAAGAATGCAGAAGCCTCAGGAGCTGATGCGATCAACTGGAAGAAAGGGTATCAGTGATGGAAGATGAAATGAATGAAATGAAGCGAGAAGGGAAGTTTAGAGAAAAAAGAATAAAAAGAAATGAACAAAGCCTCCAAGAAATATGGGACTATGTGAAAAGACCAAATCTGCATCTGACTGGTGTACCTGAAAGTCACTGGGAGAATGGAACCAAGTTGGAAAACACTCTGCAGGATATTATCCAGCAGAACTTCCCCAATCTAGCAAGGCAGGCCAACATTCAGATTCAGGAAATACAGAGAACGCCACAAAGATACTCCTCGAGAAGAGCAACTCCAAGACACATAATTGTCAGTTTCACCAAAGTTGAAATGAAGGAAAAAATGTTAAGGGCAGCCAAAGAGAAAGGTCGGGTTACCCACAAAGGGAAGCCCATCAGACTAACAGCTGATCTCTCGGCAGAAACTCTACAAGCCAGAAGACACTGGGGGCCAATATTCAACATTCTTAAAGGAAAGAATTTTCAACCCAGAATTTCATATCCAGCCAAACTAAGCTTCATAAGTGAAGGAGAAATAAAATACTTTACAGACAAGCAAATGCTGAGAGATTTTGTCACCACCAGGCCTGCCCTAAAAGAGCTCCTGAAGGAAGCGCTAAACATGGAAAGGAACAACCGGTACCAGCCACTGCAAAATCATGCCAAAATGTAAAGACCATTGAGACTAGGAAGAAACTGCATCAACTAACGAGCAAAATCACCAGCTAAAATCATAATGACAGGATCAAATTCACACTTAAAAATATTAACTTTAAATGTAAATGGACTAAATGCTCCAATTAAAAGACACAGACTGGCAAATTGGATAAAGAGTCAAGACCCATCAGTGTGCTGTATTCAGGAAACCCATCTCACGGGCAGAGACACACACAGGCTCAAAATAAAAGGATGGAGGAAGATCTACCAAGCAAATGGAAAACAGAAAAAGGCAGGGGTTGCAATCCTAGTCTCTGATAAAACAGACTTTAAACCAACAAAGATCAAAGAGACAAAGAAGGCCATTACCTAATGGTAAAGGGATCAATTCAACAAGAAGAGCTAACTATTCTAAATATATATGCACCCAATACAGGAGCACCCAGATTCATAAAGCAAGTCCTTAGTGACCTACAAAGAGACTAGACTCCCACACAATAATAATGGGAGACTTTAACACCCCACTGTCAACATTAGACAGATCAATGAGACAAAGTTAACAAGGATACCCAGGAATTGAACTCAGCTTTGCACCAAGTGGACCTAATAGACATCTACAGAACTCTCCACCCCAAATCAACAGAATATACATTTTTTTCAGCACCACACCACACCTATTCCAAAATTGACCACATAGTTGAGTGTAAAGCTCTCCTCAGCAAATGTAAAAGAACAGAAATTATAACAAACTGTCTCTCAGACCACAGTGCAATCAAACTACAACTCAGGATTAAGAAACTCACTCAAAACCGCTCAACTACATGGAAACTGAACAACCTGCTCCTGAATGACTACTGGGTACATAACGAAATGAAGTCAGAAATAAAGATGTTCTTTGAAACCAATGAGAACAAAGACAAAACATACCAGAATCTCTGGGACACATTCAAAGCAGTGGGTAGAGGGAAATTTATAGCACTAAATGCCCACAAGAGAAAGCAGGAAAGATCCAAAATTGACACCCTAACATCACAATTAAAAGAACAAGAAAAGCAAGAGCAAACACATTCAAAAGCTAGCAGAAGGCAAGAAATAACTAAAATCAGAGCAGAACTGAAGGAAATAGAGACCAAAAAAACCCTTCAAAAAATTAATGAATCCAGGAGCTGGTTTTTTGAAAGGATCAACAAAATTGATAGACCGCTAGCAAGACTAATAAAGAAAAAAAGAGAGAAGAATCAAATAGATGCAATAAAAAATGATAAAGGGGATATCACCACCGATCCCACAGAAATACAAACTACCATCAGAGAATACTACAAACACCTCGATGCAAATAAACTAGAAAATCTAGAAGAAATGGATAAATTCTTCGACACATACACTGTCCCAAGACTAAACCAGGAAGAAGTTGAATCTCTGAATAGACCAATAACAGGAGCTGAAATTGTGGCAATAATCAATAGCTTACCAACCAAAAAGAGTCCAGGACCAGATGGATTCACAACCGAATTCTACCAGAGGTACAAGGAGGAACTGGTACCATTCCTTCTGAAACTATTCCAATCAATAGAAAAAAAGGGAATCCTCCCTAACTCATTTTATGAGGCCAGCATCATCCTGATACCAAAGCCGGGCAGACACACAACCAAAAAAGAGAATTTTAGACCAATATCCTTGATGAACATTGATGCAAAAATCCTCAATAACATACTGGCAAACCGAATCCAGCAGCACATCAAAAAGCTTATCCACCATGATCAAGTGGGCTTCATCCCTGGGATGCAAGGCTGGTTCAACATATGCAAACCAATAAATGTAATCCAGCATATAAACAGAACCAAAGACAAACACCACATGATTATCTCAATAGATGCAGAAAAGGCCTTTGAAAAAATTCAACAACGCTTCATGCTAAAAACTCTCAATAAATTAGGTATTGATGGGACATATTTCAAAATAATAAGAGCTATCTATGACAAACCCACAGCCAATATCGTACTGAATGGGCAAAAACTGGAAGCATTCCCTTTGAAAACTGGCACAAGACAGGGATGCCCTCTCTCACCACTCCTATTCAACATAGTGTTGGAAGTTCTGGCCAGGGCAATTAGGCAGGAGAAGGAAATAAAGGGTATTCAATTAGGAAAAGAGGAAGTCAAATTGTCCCTGTTTGCAGACTACATGATTGTATATCAAGAAAACCCCACTGTCTCAGCCCAAAATCTCCTTAAGCTGATAAGCAACTTCAGCAAAGTCTCAGGATACAAAATCAATGTACAAAAATCACAAGCATTCTTATACACCAATAACAGACAAACAGAGCCAAATCATGAGTGAACATCCATTCACAATTGCTTCAAAGAGAATAAAATACTTAGGAATCCAACTTACAAGGGACGTGAAGGAGAGGATACAAACAAATGGAAGAACATTCCATGCTCATGGGTAGGAAGAATCAATATCGTGAAAATAGCCATACTGCCCAAGGTAATTTATAGATTCAATGCCATCCCCATCAAGCTACCAATGACTTTCTTCACAGAATTGGAAAAAACTACTTTAAAGTTCATATGGAACCAAAAAAGAGCCTGCATCGCCAAGTCAATCCTAAGCCAAAAGAACAAAGCTGGAGAGGCATCACACTACCTGACTTCAAACTATACTACAAGGCTACAGTAACCAAAACAGCATGGTACTGGTACCAAAACAGAGATATAGATCAATGGGACAGAACAGAGACCTCAGAAATAATGCCGCATATCTACAACTATCTGATCTTTGACAAACCTGACAAAAACAATCAATGGGGAAAGGATTCCCTATTTAATAAATGGTGCTGGGAAAACTGGCTAGCCATAGTACAAAGCTGAAACTGGATCCCTTTCTTACACCTTATACAAACATTAATTCAAGATGGATTAAAGACTTAAACGTTAGACCTAAAACCATAAAAACCCTAGAAGAAAACCTAGGCACTACCATTCAGGACATAGGCATAGGCCAGGACTTCATGTCTAAAACACTAAAAGCAATGGCAACAAAAGCCAAAACTGACAAATGGGATCTAATTGAACTAAAGAGCCTCTGCACAGCAAAAGAAACTACCATCAGAGTGAACAGGCAACCCACAAAATGGGAGAAAATGTTTGCAACCTACTCATCTGACAAAGGGCTAATATCCAGAATCTACAATGAAATCAAACAAATTTACAAGAAGAAAACAATCACATCAAAAAGTGGGCAAAGGATATGAACAGACACTTCTTAAAAGAAGACATTTATGCAGCCAAAAGACACATGAAAAAATGCTCATCATCACTGGCCATCAGAGAAATGCAAATAAAAACCACAATGAGATACCATCTCACACCAGTTAGAATGGCAATCATTAAAAAGTCAGGAAACAACAGGTGCTGGAGAGGATGTGGAGAAGTAAGAACACTTTTACACTGTTGGTGGGACTGTAAACTAGTTCAACCATTGTGGAAGTCAGTGTGGCGATTCCTCAGGGATCTAGAACTAGAAATACCATTTGACCCAGCCATCCCATTACTGGGTATATACCCAAAGGACTATAAATCATGCTGCTATAAACACACATGCACACCTATGTTTATTGCGGCACTATTCACAATAGCAAAGACTTGGAACCAACCCAAATGTCCAACAATGATAGACTGGATTAAGAAAATGTGGCACATATACACCACGGAATAATATGCAGCCATAAAAAATGATGAGTTCATGTCCTTTGTAGGGACATGGATGAAATTGGAAATCATCATTCTCAGTAAACTATCACAAGGACAAAAAACCAAACACCGCATGTTCTCACTCATAGATGGGAATTGAACAATGAGAACACATGGACACAAGAAGGGGAACATCACACTCTGGGGCCTGTTGTGGGGTGGGGGGAGGGGGGAGGGATAGCATTAGGAGATATACCTAATGCTAAATGACGAGTTAATGGGTGCAGCACACCAACATGGCACATGTATACATATGTAACTAACCTGCACATTGTGCACATGTACCCTAAAACTTAAAGTATAATAATAAAAGAAAAAAAGAAATATAATAAAAGGAGGGTTTCCTGAACTCAATACATTTCTAATAGATAAAACATTAGGAAAAATATTTTTGTATAGAAGAGTCCTTTAATAGCTCTTGCTTCTTTCTAGCAAGAGATAAAGACCTTTGTTTTTTAAAAATTTCAGGTCTACAACTCTAAATGTACCTTAAGAGGTCCAGAATTAAAATTATAAACATAATCTACATGATCTTAATCCTTCAAGTCTTAATAGCCACTCACATATGAGAAAGCTTAGCTTAGATCATCAACTCAACATATTGTGTCTATTAAAAATTTTTATATAGATACTAGGCATCTTTCAGGAATAGATAAATAAGTTAAATATGAAACTTTATATAATATGTATATATAAATATAAACAAATATAGACACTATAGACAATTCACAAATATACCTACTTTCCAAAACGCTTGGTAAATATTCCTGATGCCCATACCCAACAACAATTTATCAGTTAAAATTTTCACATGGCTTGTTTTTTCAGTAGCAAAAGTAGTCTTCTTTCTTCTAAGGTATTCTTTTCTGTTTCAAGAAAGCATGACAGAGTGTTGATCCTAGGATAAAATCAGTCTGGTAAGTGGCTTTAGAAGACATTTGTGATGTTTGGAAGCAATGGGAATGAGATGATATGAGGAATATTGGCTGTTTCAATAGAATTGGGTTATAGGTAGAGCTTTGATCTAGGAAATATCTAGCTTGGATATATGGACAAGACACTTTAAAGAGTTAGGAGGCTAGGTGAAAGGATAATCAGGGGAGAAAATTTGGGTTGTGACAGCACTAAATGAAAAAGAGGGAATGTGAGCCAATATAGGTAGTGAAAGAGAAGGATATGAGGCAATGAAAGGAAACTTGTAATGTGGTCAATTATTTCTTGAGATAGAACATTTTTATTCATAAGCTGATGTGAGACCTTCTAATGCTGGTGCCTGCTTCAATGCATATCATAACTGGCAAAATGATTTTTCTTGGGACAAAAATGATCACCTCTCTATTAAGGAACAATATTGAGTAATAATTCACAACTTCTTTTCATTCCTACTAATCTGGGTTACATTATTTTTGGCCTGTGATAGTATTGGCAATAATGCTTGGTTACTTAATCAAATAACAAAAATTGATCAATGATCACCTACTGTGTAAGTGGGTACTCTGAAAGATCTGTAGGAACTATTCTCTATGATCCCTGAAATAAGATTCCTCTGTAATAAGATGATTTTAATATGGTTAGAAAAAGAAGATCAACACATAGAAAGAGTGATTTGAAAATGGTATGCAATTAAGTCTGAAATTGTGAGAAAAGAGCTCCAAATGCCCAGAAAGGTCACTTCAACCTTCTAAGTGGCATTTAGGATACTAAACACTGAAGTCACAAAGTACCACAGGGTAAGATTCTTACACTCAAAGAGTGAACAGCCTAGAGATAGATGCAGATGAACAGACAGTGAAAATATAGTATTAGCTTTGCAAATACTCACATTGTACTCTGTTCACATAAAGGAGGCCACCCAATCCAGACTGAAGGGAAAGTTTTCTGGAAAAGATAATAGCTGAGTTGTGTCCTAAAAAAGTCATCTGAGAAAGTGGGACTTAGGGATGGAACTAAGGAGTTGGTGTTGATGGTTAAAAAAGAATGTGGGAGAAATTTCAAGAGGGTCAACAACAGAGATAAATGCTTGGAATCAGGTGCCAACACCGTAGAGCAAGGACATGGGGCAGGAAAGGAGGGTCCCTGACCAGAGAAGGATCACCATGGAGTAGCAGGAATCTCTAGATAAGGAGGATGGAGATGAATTATAAAGAGCCTTAAAAGACAGGAAGAGGGAAATCTGAACATAATGCACTAGTAAACAAGAAGGGCTTTAATCTCTTGGGCAAGTTATTGAAAGTGGCATTTGGTCTAAAAGCTGTCTGAAATTGAGGGCCCAGCTAGGACATTTTCTCCATAATTCAAGCCTAACAGGTAATGATCTGGCAGTCAAGAATAGAGAAGAAAGATAAATGTAACATATATTATAACAGAAGACTCAAATGGAATTGTTGGCCAACTGTGTATATGAAATGGGTAAGAGGAAGTTATTCGAGATGAGTCCCATGAATCTCCACTTCCTCCCCGCCCTGGTTTCTGAAGAATGGAATCATCATTGATAGGGATCAAGAAGTTGAGAAAGCATAATGAAGTATATCGGGGGTGGTGGAGTGAGGAACTAATTCCTCATAAACATCATGCCTGCTATCTAGTTAGCTACTTCAATGAGATGGAGTGTGCCTGTTACTGGGTTTGGCTGCATTAGCTCAACCAATATGAATTTCTCAGATGTGCACAATTAAGAAAGTAAAAATTGCAAAAAGAAGCCATATGATCCTTTCAATGTTGATGCTTATATTTGTTAGTATTAATAAATAAAATGACATTAATTATTCTCTAATATCCACTCTAAACATGTGATACACATAATACCTGGGCTTAAGTGGACTTTATCCACTAAAGTTTGATTGTCATCAACTTATGTTTAATATAACCCTAGAATTTATTTATTTTTATTAACTAGATCTCATCTTCAAATTCTTAGGGAGTCCAGAATATTCTGGGATATGCTCACTGAATTTGATTGCTCATCATTATCATCTGCCCTTGGGCATCTCACACCTTTCTTTATTCTAATCTATTTCTAACTGGAGCCAGACCATTTAAAAAAATGTATTCTGTACATTTCAAAATGCATTTTGAATATCAAATAAAGTTATAAAACAGTTTTCCTCAATATTAATAAATAATAAGATTTATGTTGGGAAGATTAAAGTTTAAATATTAAAGAATAAATTTACAAAATATAGTTATAAATATGGAGCTGGGCTTTAAGAAAGTATCCCATAGTGGAACACAGATTTAGAAGTCACCAGGGTAAAGGTGAGAGGTAAGGGTTGAAATGCAGGGGTGTGTGTGTGTGTGTGTGTGTGTGTGTGTGTGTGTTTGAGAGACAAAGAGAACAAAAATAAGAGTAGAGTCTAAGAACTGCATCTTGAATAGGGTTTGCCATGTTGGAGCAAGAATTAAGAAGCAAGAAAGTTGCTCCTCAAAAGCAGCAGGACCAGAGTATATCTCTTTACATCTGTACAGCACAAAATGCTTTCACATTCATTTGTCTTCACTTGACACCTTATAGCACTCCAGAGAGCTCTTTGGAAGAAAGATGTTTTAAATGTCAGGTGTTAAGATAATAAACATAAAAACAATAATAGAAACGCAAGACCTTTAAATAGAAGGAGGGTACTGCCTATATTCATCACTAAGTGGTTTGGATCAGTACCAAAGGCTGGTGGGAAGCCAGAGTAGGAAGAGTCTAGGGCATCCCTAAGTGTGTAGTGAAGTGATAAACATTCTGTGTAAGAGGGTGGTCTCCTCTCCAAATATGCCCTTTTGTCTCATCCAAGGTTTTATTAGTACTGACACTAATTCAATAGTTTATTGCTACATGTATAGTGGGACTCATGTTCCCAAGAGAAATTCTTAGATCACAAACCATCATTATTATCATCGAAGTGGAAAATCATGGACTTTTATGAAGGGAATTGTTTAAATACATGTGGGATTTTTTTCTTGTAAACAACTGAAATGAAATCATTACCCCAAATGTCATTTTATAATAGTTACTCTGATTTGCAAATACAATATGAGATTCTGATGTTTTCCAAGCATTTCACAAATGAAATATTAATATATTACCTCTGGAAACAGTCAACAAATTATCATTTATCCCAAGAAATATTTAAAAATTTTGAAAAGATATAGAACATCACCAACACCCCCAACACACACACACACACACACACACACACACACACACACAAATACATATGCAAACATATTCATTCAGTAACTCATCCTTAATTTAATTAAAGCCTTACTATAGAAGTTTACATTCCAAGGCTGGTTCTTAGTTGTGCTCATGTTGTTTCTAGATGAGGCAAATGCAGAACCAGAGAACTGAAGACTGAAACCTTGAGCTCCAAGTCTTGTAGGATGTTTGCAGAAAGAAAGATATGTATCTGGGGCTATCTTTGGTATTATGCATAGGTTCTGAGCTTGAGTTTTCATATTTGACAAATAAAAATCCTACAGATATTCAGATATAAGAAGAAGATTTGGTACATCCCCACTGTATTTCCAGCCATTCAACTGTGTCACCTGAAACTTGGTGCTGAATACTGCACTGATTCTTTATCATCTCCTCTTGCCTAGGCAGAGCCAAAGTATTATAATGTACTATATGTCAATGTCCTGACTCTCAGCAGTTTTTTTTTTATCTGAAATTTCGAGGGAAAATGTCCTTAATTCATATAGAAAATACCAAATTTATATCCAAAGATTTGTGTGTTGTAAAACAGAAAAAACATTCAGAGTGAAGGCATATTTAATTTGCAAGTATTTTTTTTTCTGTTGATCAAAGTTTAAAATGTTTTCCCTTACAAGAAATAAAAAGGGGTAGTTTTCATCACTTCTCATAAACTATAATTATATCCCCTAAATTATAAACTTTAAACCTCACAGTTTTTATTGTATCTTCCAATTTTTTCATTGGATGGGGCCATAGCTGTCATAGCATCCAGCTCTTTCATTTTACAATTGGAATAACTGAGGCCCTAAGACTTTAAAGATCTTCAAGGTCACATAATAGATTGTAGGAGAGCCAGGATAAAAAAGCATTTCTTCTTATTCTCAGTTCAGAACTCTGACTTAAATACACTGACAGCCTGTCAAAGGAGGACATCATATATGACCATGTGCATATGTGTATGCATTTGTGTTGGTGTGTGTGTATGTGCGTGGGTGTATGTATTTCTTTGCCTAGTCTGTTTCGTGGGTAGAGTCCTCCTACTTCCTTCCCCCACTCCCTTCAACCTTTCTTTATGTAGCAAATTCTTGTTTTGTGTATTATTTTTATTTGTGCTAGAGAACAGGTTATTCAGGTTAGCCTGTTCATGTTAGTGAATAACCTGTTCACTAATACAAATAATAATATATAAAACAAGAATTATTATTATCATTGTATTATTATTTTTAAATTTCAGGTTCGGGGGTACATGTGCAGGTTTGTTACATGGGTAAATTGTGTGTCACTGAGGCTTGCTGTATGAATGATCCCATTACCAAGGTGCCCAACAGGTAGCCTTCCAATGCATGCCTACCTTCCCACCCTACCCCCTCAAACAGTCCCGTCTATTATTCCCTTACTTGTATCTATGTGTATTCAGTTTTTACCTCCCACTTATAAGCATGAATGTACAGTATTTATTTTCTAGACAGAGCCAAAGTATTATAATGTACTATACGTTTGCTTAGGGTTGCACTGGTTTGCTTAGAATTATGGCCTCCAGCTGTATCCACGTTGCTGCAAAAGACATTATTCCATTTTTTTATGGCTGCATAGTATTCCACAGTGTATTTGTGTCACATTTTCTTTATTCAGTCTGCCACTGATGGGCATCTTGGTTGATTTCATGTCTTTGCTATTGTGAATACGACTTATGTAGCAAATTCTTACTCCTTAATCAAGACCCGTTTAAATACCATCTCTTTCTGCTTTCTGCTCCATCTTGGGTAGTGTCCCTTGCTTTACTCTCATAGAAAGCACTTGAATCATTTCAAGTACACGGTAGCAGAGTTGTCTGCACTTGAATCACTTTGGTAGCAGAGTTGTCAAACGCATCAGAGTTCTTTGAAAACACATCTGTATACTATTTTAGAGTAGATCATGGACCATTTTCACTATTTTACAAACTCCTTAAGAATATGAATCAGGTTGGGCATGGTAGCTCATGCCTGTAATCCCAGCACTTTGGGAGGCTGAGGTGGGCAGATCCCATGAGGTCGGGAGTTTGAGATCAGCCTGACCAATATGGAGAAACCCTGTCTCTACTAAAAATACAAAATTAGCCAGGTGTGGTGGCACATGCCTGTAATCCCAGCTACTCAGGAGGCTGAGGCAAGAGAATCGCTTGAACCCAGGAGGTGGAGGTTGCAGTGGGCCGAGATTGTGCCATTGCACTCCAGCCTGGGCAACAAGAGTGAAACTCCATCTCAAAAAATAAGAGAATGTGAATCATAAGCTGCTTGCCTTTGAATGCACAGGGACTAGCACAGTGCTTGATTATGGTAACTATTCCATAGGGGTTTGTAGAAATAGTTCAATTTAATTTAGACAAATTTAGCAAAGTCCTACTCTTTATTTAGTTTAACTAAGAAGTATATCTTTACTGTAGACATCACATTGTACTTCATTTTAATGTTTCTGAAATTTATGGAAAGTATAAGGACCTAACTTTCATAAATACCGGTACTGGAGTGTTAGGGGTGAACCAAGTGTTGTTTGTCAGAAGCAATACTGGTAGCTACACTTCCCATTAAGTATTATTCTAAAGAAATAGTACCTATAACTTCTCATAACTTTTTGAAATCTTTACCTTTCTCTCTATGTAAAGATAATATTTTATATCCATTTATACATAGTTTGTTAAACTCGTCAGAGATCTGGAATTTTAGGACTAATCTTAAATGGGTTATGCTTTAGTTAATGGTCTATTCAGTAACCTGAAGATTTGCTACTGGGGAATATCTGAACTGTTACACCTATTCCTATATGACTAAAAATAAATTATTTAGAGAAGGCTACAATTTTGGAATGTGTGAATGAGACCTTTGAGAACAAGACAAAGTAGGACCAATCATCTAGTTCAACTATTTCTCCAGTGACAGATAGTGGAAGGTTATTTCAGCTAAGCTGCAAATCCAGGCCTCTCTGGGCTGAATTATGACAGATTTTGATGAGTAGGGAAATTAGGGTGGTTACTCCTTGTCTTTGCCCTTTTTAGCATGTGCGTTTCTGACTTTGCCCCAGTCACTGTCTCCACTTTGTTTTCTCTCCCTTTCCCTACACTTCTGACTCACATTCACTCTAATTTCTTTTCTGAAAATTTTCCTTCTCTGCACTCCTTTGTCTTTTTTTTTTTTGAACAATCTTTTTCTTTCATTTCTTCCCCTTCACTCTACACCCTATGCCCCACATTGGATTATTAAAAAACAATTGAAAATTTAAAAATTATCTAATATTTGTACTGAAAACATTTTCTGGAATTTTTTGTTCTTAATTTTCCATTCGGTATTTAGTCACCAAGCACTCTTGATTAGGAGGGTTTCGAGATGAAAGCAATAAACAAATCCTGAATTTTTACCTTTGACAAAAGGGAAAAAACAGAAGCCAGAGACTGCGAAGTGCTAGGGGAAAATTTTCAAGAAAAGTCCTTGTCCTCAAGAACATCCTACTGTAGTGTGTAAGGCACACACACAAATTGCTTTTTGCTTATGTGTAATCTCAGATTGAATTTTCGTTTTGTAAGTCATCGGCTCCTGGAAATTCAAGGATATCTATTCTGCATTATGATATATTTAAGTGAGACAAAGAATGGAATCTTAAATAAGAATGCTAAATGTGGGAATGTAAGGTAATCCTCCTAGTCCTTTATTAAAATCGGCATAGACTTTGAAGGCTTGGGACTTTAGTGAGAAGGAGGAGATTTGGAAACGTTCTAAAGCAAAGCCCCAACAATGATTAAAACAGTTAGAAAAATTAGCAGATGCCCATTAGTTTGGAGCCAAGCAGACATTTGCTGGATCACATTAGAATCTGTCCAGAGGCCTTAGGAAAATAGTTTTGTAAAGTAATGACTTTAAACCATGAATGTCAAATACAGCTTCATTTTCTTAACACTGCCTTAACCATCCCCATGCAGCTCCCTTCCAGAAATCCTTTTCCAGCTCCCTTCTCGAAATTCAGGTTGGCCTCATTCCTAACACCAGCTCCGCAAAGGCAGGAGGTACAGCAGTCTTTCCTGCCCGTCCTTCATATCTTGACTCCGTGGCCCTGCCACAAGTTCTGGCTTCCCAGAAGGTCCTCTCCCCTCCCTGCTATATCCTCCCAGCAGTGCCCTCAAAAGCCAGCCAGTCCTAAAATCCAGCATATCAGAGGCAGAACCCAAATAATCATCAAGTAACTAGATGCTCTGAGCCTTATATAAAATTGAGATTTGTCACAATACTGTATATGTAGTGATATTGGAATATGACTATAATAATAAATATGTTATTTATATATTATAGGTGTATAAAACTTCCAGGTCCAGATACTTGGTCAGATGATGGGAATATGAGAAGGAATCAGGTATACTCCTACTTTCACAGTTTATGCTTTCACAGAACAGGAAATATCATGCCAACTAACACATTAGCACACTAGAAATTTGAGATGCTGCAAAACATTTGAGATATTTGCAAAAGGAAGAATGAAGGCACAAAGTTGAAACTGATTAAGTATTCTCAAAGTTTCTGAATGGGGCAAATAATTTCAAGTAAATCTTCGTTGTAAAAGTGATGATGAAGCGAAATATATTTCTTATAAATTGAGAAGAAAGAGGAGTGAGAAGGAAACTATACATTGTTCTACTCATTTGGTAATGCAAGCTTTTTAGTATGTCTAGAGTAAGGCTATCAGGAGGAGAAATCGTTTAGAGAGATACACAAGAGTCAAAACACAGGGCTTGCACTGAACTTTACTAGCAGCAAAATAGTTGTGGAGACACATGTATAATTATATGGGACACATTTTCTTTGTAGCTGCACACAGACCTGTCCTACACACTACACACACACACACACACACACACACACACACACACACTCCTTAATCATTTTCTTTCTAAATTAATGAGGTATAGTATCAAGTATCCAAATTAAATACTCATTTTAGGTGGGGCTCAGTCTGGGACATAGAAAAGGACTTGACATAATGAAAAATAAAATTAAAATTATTTCTTCTCTTTTCTCCTTAAAACTCTAAGCTAGCCAGGTGTGGTGGCTCATGCCTATAATCCAAGCGCTTTGGGAGGCCAAGACAGGAAGATCACTTGAGCCCATGAGTTCAAGACCATCCTGGGCAGCATAGCAAGATCCTTGTCTCTACTTTTTTTTTTTAAATTAGCCAGGCATGGTGGTGTACAACTGTAGTCCCAGCTACTTAGGAGGCTGAGGTAGGAGGATCGCTTGAGCCTGGGAGTTCAACATTGCAGTGAACCACTGCACTTAGCCTGGGTGACAGAGTGAGACTCTCTCTCAAAAACAAAACAAAACAAACATGCAAAAAAACCCTCAAAACCTAATCCTTACTCCTTTCTTCTTAATCTCTCCATCTCTCCACACAACACACACACACACACACACACACACACACACACACACGTAAGGATGCACAATAGAAGAACAACAATGAAAGGATGGAAAGACAGAAAAAAATGAAAGAGAAATGGTTAGATGTGAGGTCTTCAGTTGCTTGGATAAGAAGGAGCTAAAAATATTAGAACATCACTTCCTCTTACTCATCCTTTGCCCCTTCAGATATTAACCATAAAATAAGCTGACTTTCCAACATCATCAGGCATGCCAAGTGAGATTTCAGCCAAATGTCTCATTTACTATCCTTAGTGAGTAGCATCTGATCTGAAAACCAACAAAAGTGGGTGTTATAGAAACTTGAAACATTTATATTAATAGACTTCTAAAAATTCAGAATATTTAAAATTCCTTTTGAGATAAAAAAAATTTCAACATCAAGCTTCACGAGCTTGTTACTGCATCAACGATATACAGACGAGAGCTGTCAGAAGACTATCAGAGAAATGTGTTTTCCCACCCAAAGCTGCATTTCTCCATTTCCTCTCTCAACTGTATAGCCCATCTGGCAGTGCATGTACAGACCACTGGGAGAACTCAAACTTGGAAATTGAAATTTCAGGCTCAAAGAAAAGGTGAAAATATAAAGAATTTCCCCAAAGCTTTAAAACCCCAAACAATAGTAATCTTATTCTGAAACTCAGGAAAGAGTTGTATGAGCTTTCTTGTAGAAGAATTGTGTGTGTGTGTGTGGCATTTTGCATAAAACTTTGGTAGAAACTGATGACTTCATTAGAAAGGCAGGTGGATCTTGTACCCCAAAAACCCTCCTTTCTGTTTGTTTGCAAAAGATTGAATGAACCTTGTCAGAAGTCTGTTCAGCTGCCTCTTTTCAGGAGTGGGCCAATGCATATGCTATTTCTCTTTAGAAATCTCCCTGAATTATTGGACAAAAAGGGAAGGAATATAACAAAGTAGGCTGTGTGAACGAGAACTGGCTAAGATTACACCCCTGTGGACCCTCTCCTCGGGTATATTGGGGTGTTTAGCCCATCTGAGTTGCCAATTTTATCAGCCTGCATTAGATGTCAATGAATATGGAGAGTTGAGGCTGCCAATACAAGTTATTTTCATAGACTCTTTAATGGCTCATCTTCCTACTCTGTTTATACAAATGTTCTTAGAATAGTATTGATTTGAGGGACATTGCTTGCCCATGGACTCTTCTCTCTTTTATGGTGACTATCGTTTCTAGATGTTTGTTTTTTGGACTAGCTCAGTCAACAATAAGTTACTTTTTCCACCTGAGTCATCCTTTAATTTCTATTTTAATTTCCTTCTCGAAGGAATTCAGATTTCACTAGGAGTGTTTGAATCTCAGAAGCAAGAATGGTACAGTTAGAATACTAGATGCCGTCCAGTTCCCTGGTTTTCAAGCTATGAGTTTCCAAATTCTTGGATTTTTAAATAATGTGTCCCAAGACCACAATGTGAAGTGGAAGTAAAGAAAATGCTGAGAAAGCTTTCAACAAAAGAAACAAGATTTTTAGCAATTTTCATACACCCAGGTTCCATTTTCAATTTTATTTGATAAAAGACCTTTTTGTTAGAGAATGAGAACTTCCAGTTGGAGAGAGATTCAGCAGCTTGTTTTAGGCCACTCAGTGAGTGACAGAGCCAGGAGCTGTCTCCAGAGTTGTCAGCAAGCATCCTTCCTGCCCCTCTACACCCCCCTCTACTCATGCCTCTTTCCATCCCGTTGGTATCTACGTTTTTCCCTTTTTAAATGTTTCCCATAGTTCTTTCTTTCAGTATTTTACAGTAGTGTCTAGAGCAGTCTTCTTTTAGTTTATCTATGTATTTTATTCAATATCCATTCTTAGTCAATTCTGAGAGTATTAGTTCACTCTCAAAAGACAGGAGGAGTCATTATTAGCATTACTAATATTATCATCTTTTACACTGACAATATTTAGAAATATTCACCTTTTATAGATTTTACACATTAATTATATAGTTATAAACAGATACATCCTTATAAAGTACCTAAAGGGGGAATATGAAAACTACGGCCTTAAAATGAGAAATGACTTGCCCAATGGTACACACATATTTAGAATCACAAGCAGTTTTGGCGTCCTGTTTCCAGTTTCTATTCTTTCCACTTAAACACTCTAAATGAAGACAAGGTTTCATTTAGAGTGGGGTGGGGTGGAGGCAGTTAAATTTTCACCTGTATAGGAAATAAGTCTGTCTGCTTTCCCTCAACATTACAAATGACTTGATTCCTTATTAAATCAATCAAGCACACACTTACAAATTACTCATTCACCTTGCCAACCTCACCGCCAACCTGCTGGAGCAAGACCAGAGGACCACGAGTTCTCCCATAAACCTTTCTCCACAATTCACATGGTTGATTATCCTTTCATTATCAATGTCAATACCTAGACATTCTTTGCAACAATTAAATTATGACAATGTTTTGAGCACAATTGGTTCTCTCTTGACCTCTCATCAGTCCTATATCTTCTTTTCCACTAGATTTTTATTCACATGGTCAACTCTGCTCATGCCAGAATATCTCATTTTTGGGACCAATCTGTGTAATATGCTACCCAAGACCCCAACCTTATCTCTAAATCCCTATCTGAATATTTAGACTAACAAGCATAAGAGATTGGAAGGACTGATAGAAATCAAACATGAAGTAGACACTTTCCATAGAAAAGAACAATGCCAAGGAAAGGACACATTCTCCAGTACTAGAATATGTATAACTCTAAGGAAACATGTACATATATCCAGTTATATATTATACAAAATCTCATGCAGCCTCTGAACACCCTTCCCTTCCATAATGTAATGAATGCAGAGATCAGGAAACAGCCCAAGGTAGGGGGAACAATATACTCCAGCCACTAGCACAGTTTTCATCAAAACCTAAATATTTGCAAAGAGGCTCATTCATTTCCTCTATTCTCCAGCTCAAAGTACATAAATAGTAAGAATACTAATAAATCCTGAATTAGCTACTCTTGGTCTTAAGCTAATGTTGTTTGCCCCACAGTTGACAGCTTGGGAGATTAAAGGTATCAATTTGAATACCCTTTGAAGGGAAAGGAAGATCTTTGTGGTATCAGCAATTCAATTTTCTATTGAAAACTAGTATGTTTTAGAAGGCATGGCAAAAGCCATTTCTGGGTGAGTCATGGCAAAGCAATTACAATCACATTCCTCTGTTGCTTGGGTAGATCACTCTTCACTTATCTCTGTATCCATGAGCTTCTTTGGTATCTGCCATCTCATACCAGATACTACTTGTGGTGAGCTTCTTTATAACTACTTTGGAAAACTAGTTGAAGGCAGAAGGTAGTTTTCTTTCTCTATTATATAATAAGAGCTTTGGGTCACTGGTGGTTGCTTTCTTACTGTGCTTTTAAAAGGAAGAAATGCCTGCAGTTTGCTGGGAGCAGAAATATGTTTTTTCATCTAAAACCATTCCTTGCATCTCACTAAATATTACTGAGCAAACCACAAGTAGCTTATCATCTTATCTATTTGCAACAGCAAACTGAATGTATTAGGAAAACCTCTTTAGAGCAGTGGAGCCCAGCAGCCCAGGAAGCTTTCAGGAATAAAATATCTGGCAGCAGGTGGCCTGGGTAGTAGACCCAGCTGTGTGGCTGTACATAGGAACTGCCACTTAACAAGTTAGGGCAGCCTGTTCCCATTGCTCATGGGAAGTTGGACACAATTCTATTCCCTTTAGACACTGTGGGCTGCAGGAGAAAAGGCAGCATTTCATTATGTCCTATGGTTTCCTTTTCATGTGATTTTAGGTTGTACTTGGACAGAACAGTTTCATGTGCAGGAGTAAAAACATCAGTCCCAGGAGATACTGGACCATTGGCCCAGAGTCCATATGTCAGTAGTCTCTTTCCCCTTTGGGACATGGCTAGTTACCATGGTAACTGGCAGCCAAGGCTTATTAGTGCTTGTTAGTGTTTAAAAGGTGATTTATAAGCATATAAATAATTGGCAGCTCTTTAACAGGTGGGGCTCCTGAACTCAGCTGCCTTTGGCAATTATCTACAGGATTCAAGAGCTGTGCTCTTATCCTCTGCAGCTGCCTGCCTGCCTGTCTGGCTCGGAGACCATCAACCTTGAAAACAAGGCAAAGAGGAAACAATCCCTTAGTGGAGTGGGTGGAGCAGATTGTATGACCGATGGTGGTCGTTCGCCTAGCCTAGTGCACAGGGACAGATGGGAGGGAGTGCAGGTTGCCCACTTTCAACTTTTCATTTAGAAAATATACATACTGCATCCCAAAAGCCCTTATTTCTTGGAAAATTCATTAGAAATAGAGCCAGACTTACATACATGTGGTTGTTTATACTGGAAGAGCCCCTTATCTAAAAATACCTCCTTGAACCAGCAACCACAGAACCTGGAAGTGCATCAGAATACATGTACTGTATTGCATTATTTTCAGCTTTCTCTTTCTCTCTCTCTCTCTCTGTGTGTCTGTGTGTGTGTGAGAGAGAGAGATACAGGAAGAGAGAGACACAGAGAGACAGAGGAGAGTTGTGTGAGGGTATCAGGGAAGAATGAAGCTGAGAGAAAAATGGAATAGTTGAGTACTCCCAATGTTATTAAACACACAAACCTTGTTCTTTTGCCATATGTTTTATAACTGAAGAAATCTAGGAGACCATGAGAAGACTGAGAAGACAGAGCTATGAATGCCAGGGATACAAGAGTTTGTGGTCTGGAGCCACAGTTTTGTCAGATCACAAATTTGACTGGCTAGACCCAACTTAAATAATTCTGGGTTTGTTTGTTTGTTTGTTTTAATTGATAAGATCTTTTTCAATACCTTTTTTTTAACAGTTTTGAAGTCCTAGATTACTAAGAAATACATTTTTCGAAGAATGTCATGCATTAATCTCTCTAATACATAAGTGATACTACATCAGCTATTATTATTTTCACTTTAAGTGCATGAGAAAAAGAGAAAAAATGAGAGGATATTTGATAGGTATTATGATGGTAATAAGAAATAAGGGGTGAGACTTTGGAGAGGAAAGACTTTGAAGAGAAAGACTAAAAGGGGAAAAAACTGGAGGCTAAAAAGTTGTTTCCTCTGGTTTTTGCAGCTTATTTCTTTCATTTGTAGAGAATCCCAGGAGCCTATAACCAGGCAAAGTCAGCCAGTGCTGCTTGAGGGATGGCATAAAAACGGTGAGTGTATCAGCTGTGCATTGTCCTGTAGGGCATTCCATCAACTCTAGGAGTTATACAGATCAGCAATGATTATTTAGGCCTTCAAGCAAGAGGGGCTAATTGTCACTTTTATTTTAACTTATGTAACAGCATATTTCCTCCCCCATTCAACTAAGTGTCTAATTCCAGTGATGAAACACCTCACTCACCAACAACTTGAAAGTGTTATTCAGGTTGATTAAACACTACTCTATGTATGGAAATACTTTTTGTTTTAATAATTGGTAGTGGTTTTTAAGTCTACCCTCTACAAAGCAGGGGGTAATTAATCTTGATCCTTTCTTTTCCTTGCTGAAATTTTTGAACACGTTACATGCTTTCTGAAGAAAAATCCTATTCGAAATAAAAAATAGAAATAACAAACATTTACACAATTCTTACTATGCTCCAGGTATTAGTCTAAGGCTTTATATATAGTAACTCATTTAATTCTCACAAAATGTATATAAATTAGGCATAATTATTATCCTCTTTTTATATTTCAGAAAACAGAAATGTTAAAAGAAACCTAGTCATGGATATAGCAAGAAACAAATTAGGAACAGACCTAGAATTTGAAAACATAGCACAATAGAGACTGCCCCCCTGCTTCTTTCAATTTTGTCAACAAATGTGTATTTAGTGATAGTTTCCCTTCCAATCATGAAATAGAAAGTTACAAGAAAGTGCAACTCTCATAATAACAAACAAAACGGATTCAGTGAGATACAAAATCAGATTTTCTGAACCCATCAAAAAAGCGACAATGCAAAGAAACTTTAAATAAACTAAACTTCAGTGATGAACACTTTTGGGAGAGAAGACATACAAAGCTGCTCTCCTCCCTAGCTGCTTGGCAGAAAAAGAAAAATTCCCTTATGGACAGACAAAAGGAAAAATCAACCAAATCTTTAACAAAATTTTAAAGCCTATGTGTGGACTGCTAAGAAAAACTGGAATTCTGAGCCCCTTAACTGCAGAGCAAATCTGCATTCACTTGCCAACTCTATTGCCTGAGTCTTTACCAAGTGTTCAGGGCAGTTTTCCAAAGGCTTGAAGGGAAGAGAGAAGAGCTAGGAGGGATCAATTTCAATACAGGATTTATCTTCCAAGGGCTGGGGGCAGATAAGAGTTCTAAGAGAGACTTATCTGAAACATTTTTGGAGGAAGGAGGCCTTCCTGGCATAGAAAGCCTCAGGGAAGACTGAAGGAAAGCAAAGAGAACTCCCCAGCAGCCCATAGAGCTGGCAGCTAGACTGACAAGCAGAGAGAGAGAGAGCTCCATGTTTTCAAAAGCCAACATTTGGGCAGAAAAACATAGAGACATATGCATCTCAGTAGTGTTTAGACCCCAAGCCCACCAGAGGTAAATTCTAACTCCACTCTCAAAACATTGAAAGATTATGGTCAGATTAAAGTTGCCACATAGCCCTAACACATATCAACCACATATAAGGTTTATTTGGTGCTTAACTCTAGCTATTTTCTGGAAATAAATATGATTACTTTCATTTCTACTGTTTTTTGAATGTAAAATATCTCTAGTACCATAAAAACTTACATGACATTCAAAGAAGCAAGTAAATAAAACTCATGGCCAAGAGAGAATATACAAAGAAAAGTAGAGGCAAAGATGGCCCAGATGTTAGAATTGTCAGACACATTCTTAAAAAATTTATAATTAAACATCTAAAAGATCTAGTATAAAAAATAGCCAAAAAGAGTGAGGAGATGGAGAAAGTTTTCCAGAGACAATGATACTATATTAAATAAAAATATCTGATGAAAATTCTAGAAAACAGTACACTATGAAAATGAAGTTTATTAGATTAACTTAACAGCAGACTGGAGGAAGAGAAGAATATAAAGTTATTCTCAAAGACAGGCCAATAGAAGGCATTCATTTTGAAGTACAAAGAGAAAAAAATAGACAAAAGTGCTTGAGATCTGTGGGACAATATCAAACCTACCATGAGTGTAGAAAGAGAAGAAAGAATATGATTTTGAAAAAAGAATCTAAATAAATTTGCATGGAATTATTCAAAAGGATTAAAAGACATTAACACACATATCCAAGACACTCTGTGATATGGTTTGGCTGTGTCCCCACCCAAATCTCATCTTGAATTGTAGCTCCCATAATTCCCATGTGTTGTGGGAGGGACCCAATGGGAGACAATTAAATCATGGGGGTGGTTTTCCCCATACTGTTCTCATGGTAGTAAATAAGTCTTACGAGATCTGATGATTTTATAAAGCTCTTCCCTATTTGCTTGATTCTCTCATTCTCTCTTGCCTGCTGACATGTAAGACATGCCTTTTGCCTTCTGCCATGACTGTGAGGCTTCCCCAGCCACATGGGACTGTGAGTCCATTAAATCTCTTTTTCTTTATGAATTACCCAGTTTTCAGTATGTCTTTATCAGCAGCATGAAAAAAGACTAATACAGTAAATTGATAACAGTAGCGTAGGGTGCTTCCCAAAAATGTGGAAGCAACTTTTGAACTGGGTAACAGGCAGAGGTTGGAACAGTTTGGCGGGCTCAGAAGAAGATAGGAAAATGTGGGAAAGTTTGGAACTTCCTAAAGACTTGTTAAATGGCTTTGTCCATAATGCTGATAATGATATGGACAATGAAATTCAGGCTAAGGTGGTCTCAGATGGAGATAAGAAACTTGTTGGGAACTGGAGTAAACGTAACTCTTGATATGTTTTAGCAAAGTGACTGGCAACATTTTGTCCCTCCCCTAGAGATTTATGGATCCTTGTACTTGAGGGAGATGATTTAGCATATCTGTAGGAAAAAATTTCTAAGTAGCAAAGCATTCCAAATGTGACTTTGCTGCTGCTAAAAATATTCAGTTTTAAAAGGAAAACAGAGCATAGAAATTTGGAAAATTTGCAGCCTGACAATGTGATAGAAAAGAAAAACCTATTTTCTGAGGAGAAACTCAAGTGAGGTGCAGAAATTTGCATAAGTAACAAGCAGCCACATGTTAATTGCCAAGACAATGGGGAAAGTGTCTCCTGGGGATGTCAGAGACCTTTGCGGCAATCCCATCACAGGTCTGGAGGCCTAGGAGGAATAAATGAATTCCTGGGCTGGGCCCAAGGGCTCCCTGCTGTGTGCAGCCTAGGGACTTGGGGCCCTGCATCCCAGATGCTCTAGCCATGGCCAAAAGGGGCCAAGATACAGCCCAGCCTGTGGCCTGGGTGCAAGTCCCCAGCTTTGCAAGGTTTCACATGGTATTGAGCCTGCATGTGAACAGAAGTCAAGAATTGAGGTTTGGGAACCTATACCTAGATTTCAGAAGATGTACAGAAATGCCTAGATGTCCAGGCAGAAGTTTGCTCCAGGGGTGGGGCCCTCACGGAGAACCTCTGCTAGGGCAGCATGGAAGGAAAATGTGCTGTTGAAGCCCCCACAGAGAGTCCCCACTAGGGCACTGCCTAGTGAAGCTGTGAGAAAAGAGCCACCATCCTTCAGACACCAGAATGGCAGATCCACTGACAGCTTGCACCGTGTGCCTGGAAAAGCTGCAGACGCTCAGTGCCAGCCCATGTAAGCAGCCAGGAGGGAGGTTGTACCCTGCAAAGCTATAGGGGCAGAGTTGTCCAAGAATATGGGAACTCACTTCTCACATCAATGTGACCTGGATGTGAGACATAGAGTCAACGGAGATCATATTAGAGCTTTAAGATTTCACTGCCCTCCTGGATTTTGAACTTGCATGGGGCCTTTAGCACCTTCTTTTTGACCAATTTGTCCCATTTGGAATGGGTGTGTTTATCCAATGCCTGTACCCTCATTGTGTCTAAGAAGTAACTAACTTGCTTTGGATTTTACAGGCTCATAGGTAGAAGGGACTTTCCTTGTCTCAGATGAGACTTTGGACTGTGGACTTTTGAGTTAATGCTGAAATCAGTTAAGACTTTGGGGGACTGTTGGGAAGGTATGATTGGTTTTGAAATGTGAGAACATGAGATTTAGGAGGGGCCGGGGTAGAACCATATGGTTTGGCTGTGTCTCCACCCAAATCTCATCTTGAATTGTAGCTCCTATAATTCCCATGTGTTGTGGGTGGGACCTGGTGGGAGATAATTGAATCATGGGGGCAGTTTCCCCATAATGTTATCATGGTAGTAAATAAGTCACTCAAAATCTAATGATTTTATAAGGGGTTTTCCTTTTTGCTTGGTTCTCTCATTCTCTCTTGCCTGCCACCATGTAAGATGTGCCTTTTTCCTTCTACCATGATTGTGAGGCCTCCCCAGCCATGTGGAACTGTGAACCCATGAAACCTCTTTTTCTTTATAAATAACCCAGTATTGGGTATGTCTTTAGATGGAGTTTTGCTCTTGTTGCCCAGGCTGGAGTGCAATGGTATAATCTCAGCTCACTGCAACCTCCACCTTTCCAGTTTCAAGTGATTATCCTGCCTCAGCCTCCTGAGTAGCTGAGACTACAGGCACTTACCACCACACCCAGCTAATTTTTGTATTTTCAGTAGAGATGGGGTTTCACCATGTTGGCCAGGCTGGTCTTGAACTCCTGACCTCATGATCCGCCTGCCTCGGCCTCTCAAAGTGCTGGGATTACAGGTGTAAGTCACCACACCCGGCTTGGTATGTCTTAATCAGCAGCATGAAAACAGATTAATATACTCTGTGAACCCTATACAGATACTACAAAGCAAAACACTCCTGGGCACTTTATAGTCAAATTGCTAGAAACTAAAGACATTGAATGTGACTTAAAAGTAGCCATTAAAACTAGACACATTATATGCCATGGACCAACAATATGCACACCAGTCAGAATGGCTATTATTAAAAAGTCAAAAAACAATAGATGCTGGTGAGCCTGCAGAGAAAAGGGAAAACTTAGACACTGTTGGTGGGAATGTAAGGTAGTTCAGCCACTGTGGAAAGCAGGTTGAAGATTTCTCAAAGACCTTAAAATGGAACTACCATTAGACCCAACAATTGTTTTACTGGGTACATATATTCAAAAGAAAATAAATCATTCTGCCAAAAAGACACATGCACTCATGTGTTCATCATAGCACTATTCATAATAGCAAAGACAAAATAAACCTAGCTGTCCATCTACAGTGAATGTGATAAAGAAATGTTATACATTGAGTACTTATGGACATAAAGATGGCACCATAGACACTGGGGACTACTAGAGGGGGAAGGAAGGAGTGGGGGAAGGATTGAAAACTATTGGGTACTATGCTCCATACCTGAGTTAAGGTATCAATTATAATCCAAACCTCAGCATCACACAACATACACAGGTAACAAACCTGTACATGTGCCCCTTGAATATGAAATAAAAGTTGAAATTATTTAAAAAGCAAAAATAAATACAAATAAAAATAATTGACAACATATTATTGGACAAAGTAATAATATATTTAAAATGCTAAAAGAAAAAAACATCAACCTAAGTATGAACTATCTATATATCTGTTTATCTATTTATCTATCTATCAGTTGCCTTTAAAAAGGAAGGTAAATAAGGTAATTTTCAGATGATATAAACTGAGGGAATTTGCTTCTCGTGGCTTTGCACTACAAGACATGGTAAAATAAACTCTTAAGGCTAAAAGAAATTATACCAAATGAAATTCCAGGTCTGCATAAATAAAGGAAAGACATGAAAATGGGTAAATACAAAAGATCTCCAATCTATATTTATATTTATATGTACATTTCTATACTTTTAAAAGACTACAGAAGATATATATGTATATACACACTGAATGTATTAAGAGGCTCTTAGCATATGTAGAATAAAGGTATGAGAAATAAGGTGCACAAAGCACAGGAAGAGAAGAAAATTATACTTTCCACAAAAATTCTACCACTAATATCATACTTAATTGTAATAAACTATAAGCTTCCTCATAAACATCAGGAACAAGGCAAAGATGTCCCTTTCACAACTATTCAATACTGTACTGGAAGTCCTAGCTAATACAATGAGACAAAAAAAAAAAAAGAAATAAAATATCTATAGATTGGAAAGGAATAAATAAAACTATTTTTGTCCTGAGATGACATGATTTTCTATGTAGAAAATCAAAAGAGTCAACAATAACAACAACAAAAAACCTCCACAAACTAATACATGATTATAGTACTGTGGCAGGATAGAATGTTAATGTTCAAAAGTCAATCTCTTTCCTGTATACCAACAAAGTTCATGTGGAATTTGAAATTAAAAACTCATTACTATTTACATTAGCAACCTAAAAATTAAATACTTGGACATTAATCTAATAAAATATGTACAAGGTCTAAATAAGGAAAGCTAAAAAACTTTTATGAATGATATAAAAATAAAACTACACAAATAAATGGAGTTGTATTCTATGTTCATGGATAGGAATACTCACTATTGTCAAGATATCTGTTTTTCTTAACTTCTTCCATAGATTCAACACAATCCCAACTGAAATCCTAGCAAGTTATTTTGTGGCTATTTACAAACCTATTCTAAAGTTTATATGGGAGACAAAAGATCCCAGAAAGCCAAGTCAATATTAAAAGAGAAAAATAAAGTTGGAGGACTAAAACTACCTGACTTCAAGACTTACCATAAAGCTAGCATAAACAAGACAATGTTGTATTACTAAAAGAATAGACAAATAGATCAACAGAACTGAATAAAGAGCCTAGAAATAGACCCACATAAATACAGTCAACTGATCTTTGATAGAGGAGTGAAAGCTGAATGAAGCAAAGAGTCTTTTCAACATGGTACTGGAACAACTGGACATCTACAGTCAAAAACAAAAAATCTTGACACACAATGTACACCCTTCAAAAAAATTAACTCAAAATGGATCACAGGCCTAAATGTAAAACAAAAACTGTAAAACTTTTAGAAAAAAAATTAGAGAAAATCGAGGTAACCTTGGGTTTTGGATGGCTTTTAATGTATAACACCAAAGGCATAATCCTCAAATAATTGATAAGTTGGAGTTCATTAAAATTATAAACTTCTGCTCTGGAAAAGAAAATGTCAACAAAGTGACAAGACATCCACGAACCGGGAGAAAATATTTGCAAAAGATTCATGTAATAATGGATTGTTATGCAAAATGCATAAAGAATTCTTAAAACTCAACTATATTAAAAGGAAGAATCCAATTTAAAAAATGAGACAAGTACCTTAATAGTCACCTCCCCAAAAAGAATATACAAATAGAAAGTAAACATATGAAAATAAGTTTAACATCAGATGCCACTAGGGAATTGCAAATTAAAACAATGAGTTACCACTAAATCTCTATTAGAATGGTTAAAACCAAGAACACTGACAACTTCAAATGCTGGTGAGGGTGTGGAGCAACAGAAGCTCTCCTTCGTTGCTGATGAGAATAAAATGGTACAGCAACTTTGGAAGATAGTTTGGCAGATTCGTAGAAATATAAAAATGCTCTTGCCAAGGGATTCAGCCATTGTGCTCCTTTTTATTTACCCAAAGCAATTAAAACACTAATGTCAACACAAAAACCTACACACAGATGTGTATAGCAGCTTTATTCATAACTGCCAAAACCTGTAAGCAACCAAGATATCCTTCAGTAGGTTAATTGATAATTAAACTGTTGTACATCCAGACAACGTAATATTATTTAGCATTAAAGAGAAATGGGCTATCAAGCCATAAAAGGACATGGATGAACCGTAAATGCAAACAGAGAAACATAACAAATGGGATAAGTAGAAAGCAAATATAAAAACAGGAGATTCAAATCAGACTATGTCAATAATTCTATTAAATGTTAATAAACTAAACACTTCATGTAAAGGTCAGAGACCAAAAGATTATGTAAAAAAAGAGAAAAAACCCTATGTCATTTATGAGAAGTAAATTTTATGAATAAAGGCAGAGGTTGAGGCTGGGTGTGGTGGCTTATGTCTATAATCCTAACTGGAAGATCAAAACAAGAGAATTGCTTGAGGTTAGGAGCTCAAGACCAACCTGGGCAACATAATGAGACCGCATCTCTATGAAAATGTAAAGTAAAAGAAGCCAATCTGAAAAGGGTACATACTGAATAATTCCAACTATATAACATCCTGAAAAAGGTAAAACTATTGAGACAATCAAAAAATCAGTGATTATGAGGAGCTGTGGAGAGGAACAGATGAATAGGCAAAGACCAGCAGATTTTAAGGGCAGTTAAATTGTTCTGTATAACACAGTAAAATGGTGGATACAGGTCATTATATACTTTTCAAAACCCTCAGAATGCACAACACCAAGAATCAACTATAATATAAACTATGGACTCTAGGTGGTAATGACGTGTCAATGTAGGTTCATCAATTATAATAAATGTACCACTGACCACTGTGGTGTGGGAAGTCAATAGTGGGCAGGCTGTGTGCTGGGGAGGTTGGATGGGGAGAGGAATTATATGGAAACTCTGTACTTTCCACTTAATTTTTCTGTGAATCTAAAACTGCTCTAAAAATCAAATTCATTAATTAAATATGCATGTTAATATATATTTAATGTGTATAAACCATTTATATGTACTGCCTGTGAAGTAGAACAGTATTATTTGAAGGTGAGCAGTAATGAATCTAAGATTTATATTGTAATATCAAAATTTGTACTGTCGATAGGATGGATACTTGCTATATGTTTGCATTTAAATTTAGATAAAAATTAATTAAAATTAGATAAAAATTAAAAATTCAGTTCCTCAGTAACACTAGTTACATTTAAAGAACAAAAGGGGCTATTATATTGGACTGAACAGATATAGAATATTTCCATCATAGCAGAAATCTCACTTAGAGAGTACTTCTCTAGATAAACTCCTAAAATACAACATAAAGGCATATATATAAATATTAAAAATAGGAATTAAAATGGAATTCACATATCTGTGATTTACTTTGAAGAAGGCAGGAAAGAGAAACAAATAACAGATGGAATAAGTAAACAACAAATACAGACAGGAAATTTAAAACAAACTATGTCAATAATTACATTGAATGTTAATGAACTAAACACTTCATTTAAAGGTCAGAGATCATAATATTATATTTAAAAAGAGAAACAATTCTGTTATTTATAAGAAATACATTCTATGTATAAATCCAGAGGTTAAGGCCGGGCACAGTGACTCACATCTGTAATTCCCACATTTTGGGAGGCCAAGGTGGGAGGATTGCTTGAGGCAAGAAGTTCGAGTCCAGCCTGGGCAATATAGCAAGACCCCATCTCTACAAAAAATAAAATAGAAATAAAATATAAAAATATTAGCTACGTGTGGTTGCACACACGTGTAGTTCTAGCTACTTGAGAAACTGAGGCAGGAGGATTGTTTGAACTCAGGAGTTTTAGCCTGAAGTGAGGCTATGATCATGTGACTGCACTCCAACAGAGTGAGACCATGTCTTGAAAAAAAAATAATGACAGGTTGAAAGTAAATGTATGAAAAATATGCCAGAGGCTGGCCAAGATGGCCAACTAGAAGCAGCTAGTGTGTGCCGCTGTCATGGAAAGAAATAGAAGGGGTGAGTAAATACAGCACTTTGATGAAAACATCCAGGTTCAAACATTGAGATTCATCAAGAAAACAACTTGATACAGGAAAAATGAAGAAAAATAAGGCAGGAGGACTGTCCACTTGAGAGTGACATGGAACCAGGGGAGCCTCCCCTGCCCAGGGAACTGGTGAGTGAGTGAGCAACCCCAGGGATCCATGCTCCCCCCATGGATCTTTGCAACCCTTAGGTCGGGAGATACCCTCATGAACCCACTCCACCAAGGCCTGCAGTCTGACATGCAGAACTATGTGGAGTCTTGGCAGAGCAGTCACTCAAGTACATGCAGAGCCCAGGGAGCTTTACACACCAGGGATTCCCAGCAAAAGTGGCTGCAACTCAAGCAAAGCAAGAGGTTATACTCCCATACAAACCCCTTGGAAAGGGGCTGAATCCAGGGAGCTGAGGAGCTGTGGTCTGCAGGCTCTGCTTCTACGGCACCTCATAGGTTAAGACTTGCTGACTGGGAACTCCAGCCAGCCAGTGTTACAACTCCCTGAGACGAAGCTCCCAAGAGGTAGGAGTGGGCTGCCATCTTTGCTGTTTTGCAGCCTTAGCTATTATTTCCTTCAGTCCAGCCACCCTACAGAAAGCAGCTAGACTGCTATTTTTACGCAGGTCCCTGACCCTGCTTCTCCTCACTAGGTAGGACTTCCTGACCAGGGTTACCAACCACCCTTACTGGTGTTTTCCAGCTGGTAGTGGTTCTGAGATTCCCTGGAACTGGGCACCATCTTTGCTGTTTCACAGCCTTAGCTGTTGTTGCCTGCAGGCTCTAGGGAGTCCAAGGTGACTAGGTCCTGGGGCAGTTCTCCAGCACAAAGCAGCAGCTCTACAAAGAAGTGGCCGGACTGCGTTCTCACATGGGTCTTGGGTCTCGTTTCTCTTCCCTGGGAGAAATCTCCCAACTGAGGTCTACAACCATCCTTGCCAGTGTTTTCCATCTGCATCAGTGTCAAACCTCCCTGGGATGGAGCTCCCAGAGGGAGGGCCAGGCTACCATCTTTGCTGTCTCTCAGCCTTTGGCATTGTTGCCTTTGGGATTTGGAGAGTACAAATCGACTGGGGGCTGGAGTGGACCCCTAGCACAAACTGCTCCACAAAAAAAGTGACCAGACAGCTTTTTTACATGGGTCCCCAATGCCATTCTTCCTCACTGGGTGGAACCACCCAACTGGGGTGTCCAGTCACCCCCACCAGTGTTTTCTGGCCAGCAGCAGTTTCAAACCTTCCTGGGACAGAGCTCCCAAAGGGAGGTGTGAGCTGCAATCTTTGTTATCTAGCCGCATTAGCTCTTGTTACCTTCAGGCTTTAGAGAGTCCAAGGCAACCAGGGGCTGGAGCAGACCCCCAGGAAAGCACAGCTGCCCTACATAAAAGCAGTCAGACTGCTGTTTTACATGGGTCCCTGATCCCATTCATCCTCAGTGGGCAAGATCTTCCAACAGGGGTCTCCAGCCACATCCTGCTGGTGTGTTCAGGCCAGTAACAGGTTCATACCTCCTGAGAAAGAGTTCCCAGAGGGAAGGCAGGTCCCCATCTTTGCTGTTTTGTAGCCTTCACTGTTGTTACCTTCAGGGCCTGGAAAATTTGAGGTGACTAGGGACTGGTGTGGATCCCCAGCATACTTCAGCAGCCCTACAGAAAAATGGCCAGACTGTTATGTAGGTCCTGATCCTGTATCTCCTTGTTGGCAGGTCCTCCCAGCCTGGGTCTTCAGCCACCCCCTGCTGGGGCTATCAAGCCAGTAGTTCCTCTGTAACTCCCTGAGACAGAGCTCCCAACGGGAAGTGCAGTTTGTCATCTTTGTCATCTCATTACTATCTCTAGGCTCTGAAGTGTCCATGAGGACCAGAGGCTGGTTGAGACCCTCAACGCACAGCACCCACCTCACAGAGAAGTGGCCAGACTGTTCTACACACAGGTCGCATCCTCACTTCTCCTCACTGGGCAGGGCTGCCTGACCTGAGACTCCAGCACAACCACTCTGCCTCCAGCTTGCCACTTGAATCAGAGGCAGCCCAGCAATCAAAGGAACATGTAAATGAAGAGAAGAGAAAGAACCAGCACAAGAAGACTAGCAACTCAAATGGCCAAAATGTCTTATGTCCTCTAAATGACTGCACTCCTTCTCCAACAAGGGTTTTTAACCAGGCTGAGTTGGCAGAAGTGACAGAAATACAATTCAGAATGTGGATAGGAACAAAGATCATCAAGATTAAGGAAGATAGCCAAACCCAATCAAAGAAAAATAAAAATCATAATAAAATGATAAAGGAGCTGACAGACAAAATAGCCAGTATAAAAAAGAACCCAACTGAACTGATACAGTGAAAAACACGGTACAAGATTTTCACAGTGCAGTCACAAATATTAACATTAGAATAGAAAAAGCTGAAAAAGGAATCTCAGAACTTGAAGACCAGCTTTCTGAAATAAGACAGTCAGACAAAAGAATGAAAATAAATGAATAAACCTTCCAAGAAATATGCGATTATGTAAAGAGGCCAAATCTATGAATCACTGGCACCCCTAAAAGGGAGGGGGAAAAAGCAAACAACTTTGAAAACTTCCCCAGCCTCACTAAAGAGGCCAACAGTGAAATTCAGAAAATACAGAAAAGCCCTGCAAGATTCTACACAAGAAGATCATCCCCAAGACATATAATCATCAGATTTTCCAAGGTTGAAATGAAACAAAGAATGTTAAAGGCAGCTAGAAAGGAAGGGCATGTCTCCTACAAAGAGAACATCATCAGGCTAACAGCAGACCTCTCAGAAGAAACACTACAAGCCAGAAGACACTGGGGGTCTTTATTCAACATATTTAAAGAGAAAAAAATCTGCAACCAAGAATTTCATACTGAATCAAAGTAAGATTTCTAAGCTAAAGAGAAATAAGATTCTTTTCAGATAAGCAAAAGCTGAGGGAGTTTGTTACCACCAGAATCACCTTACAAGAGATCTTGAAAGGAACAATAAATATGGAAAGACCATTACTAGCCAACATAAAAACACAATTAAGTACACAGACCAATGACACTATAAAGCAACCACACAAAAAGCCAACATAACCAGCTAACAACACAATGACAGGATTAAACCCACACATAAATATTAACAATGAATATAAATGGGCTAAATGCCCCATTTAAAGGCACAGAGTGGCAAGCTGAATAAAAAAGCAAGACCCAAGAGTATGCTGTCTTAAGGTGACCCACTTCGTGTGCAATGACACCCGTAGACTCAAAATAAAGGGAGGAAAATCTACCAAGCAAATGGAAATCAGGAAAACAGCAGGGGTTGCAATTCTTATTTCAGACAAAACAGACTTTAGACCAAGAAAGATATAAAAAGACAAATGACATTACATAATGATAAAGGGTTCAATTCAACAAAAGACCTAATTATCCTAAATATATATATATATTTATATATATAAATATATATATTTATATATATAAATATATATATTTATATATATAAATATATATATAAAAATACATATATTTATACATATATAAATATATATATAAAAATACATATATTTATACATATATAAATATATATATAAAAATACATATATTTATACATATATAAATATATATATAAAAATACATATATTTATACATATATATAAATATATATATAATTATATATAAAATATATATATAATTATATATAAATATATATAATTATATATATATAAAATTATATATATGTATAAATATATATATATAGAACTTGAAGACCAGCTTTCTGAAATAGGACAGATAAAAATAAATAAAAAAGAATGAAAAGAAATGAATAAACCTTCCATTTATAAATATATATATAAACATACATATATATATATATCTACACCCAGCACAGGAGCACCCAGATTCATAGAGCAAGTTGTTAGAAAGCTACAAAGAAACTTAGACTCCCACATAATAATAGTGGGAGACTTCAACACTCCACTGACAGTATTAGGCAGATCATAAAGGCAGAAAATTAACAAAGATACTCAGGACTTGAACTCAATATTGAACCAAATGGATCTGATAGACCTCCACAGAACTCTGCACTCTAAATAACAGAATATACATTCTTCTCATTGACACATGGTTTGAAATCAACCACAATCAGATATAAAACAATCCTCATCAAATGCGAAAGAACCAAGACCATACCAAACACACTCTCAGGCACAGTACAATAAAAATAAAAATCAAGACTGAAAAAAGATCACTCAAAACCATGCAATTACATGGAAATTAATCAAACTGCTCCTGAATGACTTTTGGGTAAACAATAAAATTAAGGCAGAAATCAAGAAGTTTTTTGAAACTAATGAGAACAAAGATACAACATACCAGAATCTGTGGGACACAGCTAAGGCAGTGGTAAAAAAGAAATGTATAGCACTAAATGCCCACATCAAAGAACTAGGACTGTTTTACATGAACAACCTAACATCACAACTTTTAGTTGAATAGGAAAGTTGAACATTCAACTTTTGTGAATAGGAGAATCAAAAGCGAACCAACCCCAAATCAAGCAGAAGACAAAAAATAATCAAAATCAGTACTGAACTAAAAGAGATCAAGAGAAAAAAAAAAAAAAAAACATTAAAAATATCAATGAGGCCCTGCACCTGTAATCCCAGAACTTTGGGAGGCCGAGATGGGTGGATTACCTGAGGTCAGGAGTTCAGGACCAGCCTGGCCAACCTGGTGAAAGCCCATCTCTACTAAAACATACAAAAATTTGCTGGGCGTGGTGGCAGGCAGCTGTAATCCCAGCTACTCAGGAGGCTGAGAGAGGAGAATTGCTTGAACCCGGGAGGTGGAGGTTGCAGTGAGCCGAGATCATGACATTGCACTCCAGCCTAGGCAACAAGAGTGAAACTCCATCTCAAAAAAAAAAAAAAAAAAAAAAAAAAAAAGAAATCAAAGAATCCACATGTTGGTTTTTTGAAAAAATTAATAGGATAGATAGGCCACTAGCTAGACCAATAAAGACGAAAAGAGAGAAGATCCAAATAAACACAATTAGAAATGACAAAGGGGATGTAACCACTGACCCCACAGAAATAAAAACAACCCTCAAAATGTGTTATGAACACCTCTATGCACACAAAGTAGAAAACTTAGAAGAGATGGATAAATTTCTGAACACATACACCCTCTCAAGACTGAACCAGGAAGAAATTGATTTACTGAACAGACAAATAATGAGACCTAAAATCGAATCAGTAATGAATAGCCTACCAACCATAAAAAGCCCAAACTAGACGGTTTCACAGATGAATTTTACCAGATGTATAAATAATTGCTGATACTATTCCTACTGAAACTATTCCAAAAAATCAAGGAGGAAGGACTCCTTCCCAGCTAATTCTATGAAGCCATAATGATTTTGATACCAAAACCTGGCAGAGACATAACAAAGAAGAAAACTTCAGCCCAATATTCTTGATGAACATTGATGCAAAAATCCTGAACAAAATAGTTGCAAACTGAATCCAGCAGTACAACACAAAGCTGATCTATCACGATCAAGTAGGCTTTTTCAGTGGGATTCAAGGTTTGTTCAACATAAACAAATTAATAAATGTGACTCATCACATAAACAGAACTAAAGACAAAAACCACATGATTATCTCAATAGATGCAGAAAAGGCTTTTGATAAAATTCAACATCATTTCATGTTAAACCCTCTCAATAAACTAGCCATTGAAAGAACACACCTCAAAATAATAAGACCATTTATGACAAACATACAGCCAACATCACACTGAATGGGCAAAGACTGGAAAGATTCCCACTGAGAACCGGCACAAGACAAGGATGCTCTCTCTCATCACTCCTATTCAACATACTATTGAAAGTCCTGGCCAGAGCAATCAGGCAAGAGAAAAAAGCACATCCAAATAGGAAGAAAATAAGTAAAACTATTTGTAGATGACATCATTCTATATCTAGAAACCCATAGTCTCTACCCAAAAGCTGCTTGATCTGATAAACAACTTTAGCAAAGTTTCAGGATACAAAATCAACATACCAAAAATCAGTAGAATTTCTATACACCAACAACATCCAAGCTGAGAGCCAAATCAGAAGCACAATCCCATTCACAAATGCTGCAAAAAGAATAAAATCCTAAGAATAGAGCTAGCCAGGGAGGTAAAAGATCTCTAAAATGAGAACTTACAAAAACACTGCTCAAAGAAATCACAGACAACACAAACAAAGGGACAAACATTGTATGCTCATGGAAAGGAGGAATCAGTATCATTAAAACAGCCATATTGCCCAAAGCCATTTACAGATTTAATGCTATTTCTATCAAACTATCAATGACATGCTTCAAAGGAGTAGATAAAAACTATTTTAAAATTCATATGGAACCCAAAAAGATCCTGAATAGCAAGGCAATCCTAAGCAAATAAAACAAAGCTGGAGGCATCACATTACACAACTTCAAACTACACTACAGTGCTACAGCAAGAAAACAGCATGGTACTTGTACAAAAACAAACACATAGTCAGTGGAACAGAATAAAGAGCCCAGAAATTAAGCTCCACATCCACAACCATTTGATTTTCAAGAAAGCTGACAAAAACAAGCAATAGGGAAGAGACTCACTACTCAATAAATGGTGCTGGGATAACTGGTTAGCTGTATGCAGAAGATTAAAACTGGACTCGTTCCTTATACTGTATACAAAAATCAATTCAAGATCGATTAAAGACTTAAATGTAAAACCCAAAACTATAAAAACCATGGTAGACCAGCTAGGTAACATCATTCTCGACATAGGAATGGGCAAAAATTTCATGACGAAGATGCCAAAATAATCACAGCAAAAGCAAAACTTGGTAAGTGGCATTTAATTAAGCTTAAAAGCTTCTGCCCTGCAAAAGAAAACATTAATATCAATAGACAACCTATAGAATGGGAGAAAATTTTTGCAAAGTATGCCTCTTACAAAGTTCTAACATGTAGTGTCTATAAAGAATGTAAACAAATTTGCAAGGAAAAACAAACAACTTTTTAAACAGTGGGCAAAGGACATGAACAGACAGTTTTCAAAAGAAGACATGCATGTGGACAAGAAGCACATGCGAAAAAAGTTCAATATATTGATCATTAGAGAAATGCAAATCAAAACCACAAGGAGATACCATCTCACACCAGTCAGAGTGGCTATTACTAAAAAGTTAAAAATTAACAGATGCTGACCAGGTTTTACAGTAAAAGGAAAACTTATTCATTGTTGGTGAGAGTGCAAATTAGTTCAACCACTGTGGAAAGCAGTGTGTTGATTCCTTAAAAAGCTAAAAACAGAAATACCATTTGACCCAGCAATTCTATTGTTGCGTATATACACAAAGAAATATAAATCATTCTATCATGAAGACACATGCACATGTATTTTCATTGCAGCATTATTCACAATAGCAAAGACATGTAATCAGCCTAAATGCCTACCAATAGCAGAATGGATAAAGAAATTGTGGTACATACACACAATATGGAATACTATGCTGCCATAAAAAGAATGAGATAATGTCTTTTGCAGGAACATAGAGGGAGCTAGACACCATTATCCTTAGCAAACTAATGCAGGAACAGAAAACCAAATATTGCATGTTCTCACTTATAAGTGGGAACTAAATGAGAACACATGAATGCAAAGAGGAAAGCAGCACATACTGGGGCCTACTTGAGGGTGGAGGGTGGGAGGAAGGAGACTATCAGAAAAAATAACTATTGGGTACCAGGATCAGGACCTGGTTGATGAAATAATCTGTATTCTAAACCCCTGTGAAACATGTTTACCTACATAACAATCCTGCACATATACCTGAACCTAAAATTAAAATTAAAGATTAATAAATACATATAAAAGCAACAGAGAGAAAAAGGAATAAAGAAAAATTAACAACAAAAAATGAAAATATGCCACTTAAACACTAAGATAAAAAATCTTAATGTTCAGATCATGATTCGTTGTGTGAAATATACCATATACAGTAAGACTAAGAAATCTGGTGTGGCTATAGTAATATCAAACAAAATGGACTTCAAGACAAAGAACATCACTAGAGAAAAAGAAGAACATTTTACAATTATGAAAAGATTGATTCATCAGAAAATCATAACAATTATAAGTGTATATGCACCCAAAATAGGATTTCAAAATATGTAGGGTGAAACCTGATAGACCAAATGGAGATGCAATCTACCTTTATAATCAGAGATCTTATATAACACATTACTAAACAACTGTGTGTGTATAACACTACAGCAGCAACTGTACATGGTCTTTGCATGTGCACATAAATTATTAACCATAATAGACTACATACCAGGCCATAAAAATTTTTCAAAATATTAAAGGATTAAAATTATAAAGAATATATTCTCTGGACACAAGTGTATCAAATTAGAAATTAATAAATATATATATATAATCCTCAAATATTTGGAATGTAACTAAAAATTTCTAAATAACCTATGAGTCAATGAATAATTAGTAAGGGAAATTAGAAAATACTATGAAATAATAAAAAGCTATCAATATTTGTGGAATTCAGTTAAAGGTAGACTAGAAGGAAGTTTATAGTTTGAAATGCTTATATTAGAAAATAAATGATCAAAGCTTCTAACTTAAGAATCTAGACAAAGCGGAATGAATTAATCCAAAGTACACGGAAAAAGGAAACAATGAAGATAAAAGCCAAAATCAGTAATATATAAAACAAGCAACCCAAAACCAAAACGTCAAAAGTGGGATAATTAAAAAGATTAATAAACTTGACAGACTTCTAGGAAAGGTGATCAAGAGAAAAGAGAGAAAAAACAAATTGCCAACATCAAGAACAAGAAGGGGACATCACCAGAGATTCTACAGGAAATAAAATAATAATAATAATAATGAACAATTTTATGCCAATACATTCCACAAGTTTGATGAAGTGAACCAAAAGTATAAACAGCACACTTAACTAAAGTGACATAAGTAATAGGACAGCTAAATAACCCCATAATTACAAAAGTAATTGAGTTTATACTAAACAGCTTCCTACAAAGTTACTCAAGGCTCAGATGGCTTTACTGAAATTTTATAAAATATTTAAGTAATAAATAATCCCAACTCTACACAAATTATTTCGAAAAGTGAAATAGGAAGAAACACTACTCCATCTTTTTTGTATGACCAGTATAAGTCTGATGCCAAAACCTGGCAAAGATATTACAAGAAAAAAATATAGACCAGTATATATTATCATCACAGATACAAATTCTTTAACAACATAGAGACAAATTGAGGGTACACACACACACACACACACACACACACACACAGAGTGATGCATCCTGAACAGATGGATTTTATCATGGGTATGCAAATGTGCTTGAACATTTTGAAAATGCAATTAAAGTAATTCACCATACGTTAGAATAAAGGAGAAAGGCCATATAATCAACTCAATTGATGTAGAAAATAATATCTGACAAAATGGAATATACATTCTGAATAAAAACTCAGCAAATTAAGAATAGAAGGAACTCTCTTTAACCTAATAAAAAACATCCTCAGAAACCCTATAGCTAACATTTTTAATTGTAAAATATTTTATGCTTTCCTTTTTTCTTTCCTAAACAAAGCAAAAACATCTTGGTTCATCATTTATGTTTAATATTTTCCTGTTGTTTCTCTCTTGTGCAATACGACAGGAAAAGTAGAACTGTGTTATTTGTAGGCAAAATTATTATATATGTAGAAAATCACATGGAATCTTCAAAAAGACAAGAACTGCTAAGTACATTTTGTAAGATTTAAGGACTCAAAGTTAATTCACAAAAATCAAGAGCAATTTTAGATACAAATGATAAAAAATTAGAAAACAAAATTTAAAATATCATTTACAATGCTGTCAAAGAATATTAAATATATAGGCAATAATTTATTGAAAATATGCAAGATTTTCGCAGTGAAAACTACAAAACATTTCTGAGAAAATTAAATAACGCAAATAAATAGAGACCCACGCTTATGTTCATTGACAAAACATAGAGTTTTAAAGTGGTCTGTTCTCCCCAAATTGACCTATATATTCAATATGGTATCTATCATGTTGCAAAGAGCCCATTTTAAAGTCATTGGCAAGCCGATTCTAAAATTCGGGTGGAAATATGAAGGATCTAGAATAGCCAAAATCATATATATATTTAAAGTTAGAGGACTCAACATTACCTAACTTCAAGACTTACTATAGGTTATAGTAAGTCAGTATAATAATTAGCTTAAATATATAATCTATGGATCGGTAGAACAGAATAGAGTCCAGAAACAGACAATACATATAGTGTCAACTAATCTTCAGACAAGGCATTGAGTTCACTTATTGAAGGAAAGGAAAGCCTTTTTAATAAATGGTGCTGGAACAACTCAACCCTTATATTTGGATTTTAAAAATTAGATGAATCTTAGACTTAAATATAAAACCTAGCACCACGATGCATAGAGGAAAAATAAGAATAATATCTTTGTAAATTTGGGGGCATGAAAAGAGTTTTCAAAAGGGTACGGAATCAGTAATCCTAAAAGAAAGAAATATGAAATTCATCAAAATTAAAATGTGCTGCTCACTAAAAGAAACATTTTCAAGAAAATCAATAGGCAAAAAACATTAGGAGAAAGTTTTCATAGCACATATATTTGAAAAGAAATTATATCCAGAATATATAGAGAATTACTACAAATCAGTAATAAAAATTCAACCTGATTACAAAATGGGTAAAACAATTAGGCAGCTATTTCACAAAGAAGAAATATAAATGGCTAATAAGTGGATGAAAATGTGCCCCAAATGTCCAAAAACATTTTACAAAAGAATATTTTAGCAATCTTTATAGTCATAATTGTCCCCAAAAGTAAATAACACAAATATTCATCAATGGGAGAATGAAGAAGCAAAATGTCATAGTCACACAATATAATGCTACTGCGTAATATAAAGAGAGAAATAACTGATAAAGGCAATAACATGAATAAATTTCAAAAACATTATGAGGAGTAAAAGAAACAGCAAATAAAAACGTATTTGCTGATTTATTTTATTTATATAACTGCCAGGAATAGACAAAATTAATTTATGGTGAAAGAAATCAGGTGGAAAGATGGACAACTAGAAGCAGCTAGTGTGTATGGCTCTCATGGAGAGGAACGGAAGGGGCAAATAAATACAACATCTTCAGCTGAAACATCCAGGTAATAATCACACTGGAACTAATCAAGGACATTTTTTAATTACCTCCCTTGGTGTTCTCTGGCTCACAGAGATTTGTAACCTCCCTTGGATACAGCTCCTAGAGGGAGGGGCATGCCACCATTTTTACTTTTTGGGGGACATAGCTGTTCCAGCCTTCCAGCTTCAAAGTGTCTGAGGCAACCGGGGCTGAAGTGGACACAGCACAACTGCTCTTCTTTTTTAAGCAGGTTCCCAATGGTGTTCCTCCTCACTGGGCGGGACCTTCCAAGTGGGGTCTCCAGCCACCTCCTACAGGTACCTTTGGGCCAGCAACATGCCCATACCTCCCTGGAACAAAGCTCCCAGAAGGAGGGACAGGCTGCCATCTTTGCTGTTTTGCAGACTTCACCAGTGATACCTCCAGATACTGGAAAATTTGAGGTGACTAGTGACTGGAGCAGGCCCCAAGCATATGGCAGTAGCCATATGGAACAGCCCTATGGAACGGTGGCCAGACTGTTATGCAGGTACCTATTCCTATATCTCCTCACTGGGCAGGTCCTCCAGGCTTGGGCCTCCCACCAGTCCTCACCAGAGTTATTGAGCCAGTAGCAACTCAGCAACTCCCTGGACAGAGACTCCAGGGGCAACTGAAAGCCTCTCTGCCACCACTCCCTCTGTAGTGGAACTGCTCTTGCCACCCTTGGACTAATGAAGGAGCAAAAATCCAAATTGCCTTATTCACACCTACAACAATCTGCAGTTGACCCAAGGAGAGGAGGCCAGTCCATCTCCTACAGGGTCCAAACACTCTGAAGTGCTTGTCACCAGACAGGGAACCCCTTGCTCGGGCCCACAGCACAGACCCTCCACCCTGGGCTGATTGCACTGAGTGAATACTGATCTGTATCTCTCTGGAGTAGAGTCCCCAAGAGACAAACAAACAACCCTTGGCCATTACCACTACTAAGATCCCTTCCTCTGTTGCCTCCAAGTTAGAGAAGGAACATAAACACTGAGATTGCCCCAGAGAGTCAGTGGGCAGCCCAGAAGTGCCAAGTCACAGACTACAGCCAGCACTCAACAAAGACAGTAACCCTCACTTTCTGACCATTTAGAGAGAAAATGTCTGTAACTGTGAGGAACCACAAGGGAGCCACACAACCAAGCAAGAGTCTACCAACTGACCAGTAAGCCTAATTGCCATCTGCTGGATCACACCCCAAAGCTTCAGCAGCAAAATACCTAACTAACAGACTCCCCTCTGAAAGCAGAGATGAGAAGTCAGCTTTAAATAAATATACTCTACAAAGCCTTGGACCAATAAAAAACATCTAGAAAAGAAGTCTATTGACTGTACTCGATCTACACTGCAGTTAAGGGAATACCCCACACGCAGAGATCAGAAAGAACTAACACAAGAACTCTGGTTATTTAAACAGCCTGAGCGTCATATGTCCTCCAAATGACTGCACCAATTCTCCAACAAGAGTTTTTTTTTTTTTTTTTTTTTTTTAACAAGGCTGAACTGGCTGGAATAACAGAAATAGAATTCAGAATATGGATAGAAACAAACATCATAAAGATTCAGGAGGATGCAAAACCCAATCCAAAGAAAATAAGAATCACAAAAAAGTGACAAAAGCTGAAGGACAAAATAGCCAGTAAAAAAAGAGAACATAATGGGTTTGACAGAGCTGAATAACACAATACAAGAATTTCACAGTGCAATCACATGTATTAACAGCAGAATAGAAAAAGCTGAAAAAAAGAAGCTCAGAACTTGAAGACTGGTTCTCTGAAATAAGACAATCAGACAAAAAGAAAGAAAAAAAAGTAGTAAATAAAACCTCCGAGAAGTATGGGATTATGTAAAGAGGCCAAATCCATGAATGATTGGCATCTCTAAAAAGGGGAATGGGAGAAAGCAAATAACTTGGAAAACATATTTCTGGATATCACTTATGAAATCTTCCCCAACCTTGCTAGAGAGGATAAAAGTCAAATTCAGGAAACACAAAGAACTCCTACAAGTTTCTACACAAGAAGATCATCCCTAAGTCAAATAATCATCAGATTTTCCACAAATGAAATGAAAGAAAGTATGTTAAAGGCAGCTAGGCAGAAAAGGCAGATCACCTTGAAATAGAACCCCATCAGCCTAACAGCAGACTCTCAGCAGAAACCTACAAACCAGAAGAGATTGGGGCCCTACATTCAACACTGTTAAAGAAAAAAAAAAAAAATCTTTGGCAGGGGCAGGGGGTGTGTGGGGGGGTTGGTTCATGCCTATAATCCCAGCACGTTGGAAGACCAAGACACACAGATCACCTGAGGTCAGTAGTTCCAGACTAGTCTGGCCAACATGGTGAAACCCCATCTCTACTAAAAATACAAAAATTTGCTGTGTGTAGTGGCATGTGCCTGTAATCCCAGCTACTTGGGAGGCTGAGGCAGAAGAATTGCTTGAATCCAGGAGGCAGAGGTTTAGGTGAGCCAAGATCACACCAGTGCACTCCAGCCTGGGCAACAGAGTGAGACTCTTTCTCAAAAAAAGAAAAAAAAAATCTTCAACCAAGAATTTCATATCCAGCCACACTAAGCTTCCTAAGTGAAGAAGAAATAAAATCCTTTTTGGATAAGCAAATCTTGAGAGAGTTTGTTACCACCAGACCTGCTTTACAAGAGATCTTTGAAAGAAGCACTAAATATAGAAAGGAAAGACCACTACCCGCTAGTACAAAAACACAAATACACAAGTCAGTGACACTATAAAGCAATCACATAAACAAGCCAGCCTAATAACCAGCTAACAACACAATGACAAGATCAAATCCACACATATAAATACAAACATTGAATGTAAACAGGCTAAAAGCCCCACTTAAAAGGCATAGAGTGGCAAATTGGATTAAAAAACAATACCAAATGGTATGCTGTCTTCAGGAGACCTGTCTCACACATAATGACACTCATAGGCTCAATGAACTGAAGAACATCTACCAAGTAAATGGAAAACATAAAAAAATCAGGGGTGGCAATCCTGATTTCAGAAGAAACAGATTTCAGACCATCAAAGATCACACACACATGAAAAAGATGAGCATTACATAATGGTAAAGGGTTCAATTCAACAAGAAGACCTAACTATCCTAAATAAATATGCATCTAGCACAGGAGCTCCCAGATTCATAAAGCAAGTTCTTATAGACCTACAAAGAAATTTAGACTCCCACACAATAATAGTGGGAGATTTTAACACTCCACTGACAGTATCAGACAAATCATTAAGGTAGGAAATTCACAAAGATATTTAGAACCTGAACTCAATATTGGACCAAGTGAATCTGATAGACCTTTACAGAACTCTCCACCCCAAAACAACAGAATATACATTATTCTCATTGACACATGACACATACTCTACAAATGACCACATAATTGGACATAAAACAATCCCCATCAAATGTAAAATAATCAAAATCATACCAAACACACTCTGAGACCACAGTGCAATAAAAATAGAAGTCAAGACAATGAAAAGTTCTCAAAACCATGAAACTACATGGAAATTAAACAACAGGCTTCTGAATGACTTTTGGGTAAATAATGAAATTAAGGCAGAAATCAAGAAGTTCTTTGAAAATAATGAGAACAAAGATACAACTAGAATCTCTGGAGCACTGCTTAGGCAGCATTAAGAGAGAAATTCATAGCACTAAATGCCCACATCAAAAAGTTAGAAAGATCTCAAATTAATAACAACTTCACAACTGAAAAAATTAGAGAAGCAAGAACAAATCAACTCCAAAGCTAGCAGAGGAAGAGAAATAACAAAAATGAAGCTGAACTGAAGGAAAATGAGACACAAAAAAACTGGCACAAGACAAGGATGCCCTCTCACTACTCCTATTCATTACAGTATTGAAAGTCCTAGCCAGAACAATAAGGCAAGAGAAAAAAATAAAGGCATCTAAATGGGAAGAGAGGAAGTCAAACTATCTCTTTTGGCAGACAACATGATTCTATATCCAGAAAACCCCACAGCCTGGGCCCCAAACCTCCATGATCTGATAAACAACTTCAGCAAAGCTACAGGATGCAAAATCAACATGCAAAAGTCCCTAGTATTTTTATACACCCACAACAGCCAAACTGAATGCCAAATCAGAAAGGCAATCTCATTCACAAATGCTACAAAAAGAATAAAATATCTAGGAATACAGCTAGCCAGGGAGATGAAAGATCTCTAAAATGAGAATCATAAACACTGCTCAAATAAATGAAAGAAGACACAAATAAATGGAAAAACATCCCATGCTCACAGATAGGAAGAATCAGTATTATTTAAATGGCTACACTGCCTGAAACAATTTACAGATTTGATGCTATTTCTATCAAATTACCAAAGACATTCTTCACAGAAATAGAAAAAAACTATTTTAAAATTCATATGGAACCAACAAGAGCTTGAATAGCCAAGACAATTCTAAACAAAAAGAACAAAGCTGGAGGCATCACATTACTTGACTTCAAACTATACTACAAGGCTATAGTAATGAAAACAGCATGCTACTGGTACAAAAACAGTCACTTAAACCAATAGGACAGAATAAAAAGCCCAGAAATAAGGCCAAACATCTATGACCATCTGTTCTTTGACAAAACTGAAAAAACAAGCAATGGGGATAAGATTCCCTATTCAATAAATGCTACTAGGATACCATTCATCCAGGTATAACTAGATAAATGTGCTAGGATAACTGGCTAGCCATACATAGAAGATTGAAACTGGATTCCTTCCTTATATCATATACAAAAATCAACTCAAAAGGGATTCAATACTTAAATGTAAAACCCAAAATTCTAAGAACTGTAGAAGACAACCTAGGCAATACCATTCTGGACATAGGAGTGGGCAAAGATTTCATGACAGGACATCAAAAGCAAGCACAATAAAAGCAAAAATTGACAAATGGGATCTAATTAAACTTAGCTTTTGCCAAGCAAAAGAAATTACCAACAGAGTAAACAGACAACCTACAGAATAAGAGAAAATTTTTGCAAGCAATGCATCTCATAAAGTTCTAATATCCAGCCTCTACAAGGAACTTAAACAAATTTACAAGAGAAAAACAAACAACCCCATTAAAAAATGAACTTGATCAGACAGTTCTCAAAAGAAGATATACACGTGGCCAATAAGCATATGAAAAAAAGCTCAATGTCACTAATCATTAGAGAAATGCAAATCAAAACCACAATGTGATACCATCTCACACCAGTCAGAACGGCTGTTAAAAAGTCAAAAAATAGGCTGGGCACAGTGGCTCACACCTGTAATCCCAGCACTTTGGGAGGCCTAGGTGAGTGGGTCATGAGGTCAGGAGTTTGAGACCAGCCTGGCTAACACAGTGAAACCCTGTCTCTACTAAAAATACAAAAATTAGCTGGGCGTGGTGGTGGGCACCTGTAATCTCAGCTACTTGGGAGGCAGAGGCAGGAGAATTGCTTGAACCCGGAGGTGGAGGTTGCAGTGAGCCAAGATCACTTCACTGCACTCTAGCCTGGGCAACAGAGCTAGACTCCGTCTCAAAAAAAAAAAAAAAAAAAAAGTCAAAAAATAACAGATGCTGGTGAAGTTGCCGAGAAAAGGGAGTACTTATACACTGCTGGTGGGAGTTTAAATTAGTTCAATAATTGTGGAAAGCAGTATGGCAATTCTTCAAAGACCTAAAAGCAGAACTACCATTCAACCCAGTAATCCCATTACTGGATATATACTCAGACAAATATAAATTATTCTACCATAAAGACATATGAATTCAAATGTTTGTTGCAGCCCTATTCATGATAGCAAAATCACGGAATTAACCTAAATGTCCATCCATTTTCATTGGAGAAAGAAAATATGGTACATATACACCATGGAATACTATGCAGCCATAAAAAAGAACAAGATCATGTCTTTTGTTGGAACTTGGATGGAGATGGAGGCTATCATCCTTAGCAAATTATTGCAGGAACTGTAAACCAAATACCACATGTTCTCATTTATAAGTGGGACCTAAATGACAAGAACTTATGAACACAAAGAAGGAAACAACAGACACTGGTATCTACTTGAATGGGGAGGGTAAGAAGATGGAGAGGACCAGGAAAGATAACTATTAGGTACTGTACTTGATACCTGGGTGATGAAATAATATGTACAACAAACCCCTGTGACATGTGTTTACCTATGTAACAAACCTTCATAGGTATCCCCAAACCAAAAATAAAAGTTAAATAAAAAGAAAGAAATCAGAAAGTGATCAACTCTGTGAGTGGGCAGAATGAAGGGAAAATTGTCATAAAAGAGGCATGAAGAAATTTTCTGGGGTGGTGTAGATGACATCATTAAGAAAAAGAATAGGCATGCCACAGATTGGAAAAATTTTTCCTAACACAGATATCTGACAAAGGACTCATATACTGAATATTTGTATTCTGTACATGGCTACATGCATACATAAAATTGTTAAGATTTATCAAACAATACTTAAAACCTGTGCATGTTGTTGTATGTAAATTATACCTCAATTAAAAATAAATATGTATTGGGCACCTACCAAGTGCCAGATTCTGTGCAAACAAGTGTAAATACAGTGATGAACCAGACTTTGCTTTCATAAAACTAGAATATCCAATAAATGGCCTTTTCTAGGCTATTCAAGGATTTAGACTTCAACCATATCCTTCTTTTTATCATCAACATAATCAACTATCTTTTTAAAATGTACATCCTGGAGTAAAAAAGTGCTACATAAGGAGTCAGGAGTCCTCAGTTTTCTGTCTTTGAGTAGTTTCCTGAACCCCAATTCTGTATTTCTCCTTAATGTCCTAATTTGCTAAACAAGGACATCAGTGCAATATCTTTTAAGCCCTATGTCTTTACTTATTTTTATTCTTATTGTATATAATAAGGATAATAATATCCATTTTCTATAAAGCTATAAACATGGGGGGGGGGAATTGTTCATCATAGAAGGAGACAGCCCTATTTTCTTTGGCCCTAATATGATACCTGCCATCACCAGATGTTCTATGGTGCCTCCACTGACTAATTTTTGGTGAGTTAAGCCAAGAGACTGACAGGTTTATTGGATGTTGAAGAAACTGAGGGGTAATTTGTATTGCCTTTATTTGAAATCTAATTGCCTTTTTAATGGCTTTTTCAATTATTTTAATTCTGAGACAGAGTAATCAACCCAGAACCCCTATATTCAAATCAAAAAGCCCCAGCCATAGAAAGACCTTTTTAGTTTTCCAAGTGTAGAAACTTTTTGTTTTTAAGATAATTAGTCAAGAGTCAGAGATGGGAAGGAAATCTAAAGAATCAGTATGCCCATAAACCATTCTCTCTTATAAACATTTAGAGAACATGCAAGAGTAAATGGCTCTTTTATGAGGTCTGCAGAGAAACATAATACATAATTTGCGTTTGTTGTAATTTTTAAAATTTCATTTCTCCCAAATTGCTTAAACATTTTTTCATTAGAGAAAATAAACTCACACACAGTATTACCAAACCTTTAAACAAATACCCCTTCCTGTCTCTCATGCTGTTCAGTTTCTGTAAGAGTCTGTAATCCCTTCTCACCCTTTCTTCATATCCATGCAACGTCTTTCCTTCCTTTCTATGCAATTTTTAATTTACTTCTATCAGTTATTTTCTCTATCAGCCTCTACCCATAACTAATTTTGCCTCATTCTTAACACCTCTTTTCAGTATCATTAATTCAGTAATATATTCATCAGCAAAATCTTATTAAAGCACAAATAGTATTTGCAAGGTGTGAGCTCGGTACGAAGGATAGAGTGGTGAAGTGTTTTCCTGACATCTTAAAGCTCATAGTATAGGACACATTAAAAAGAAATAATTGCAAGTGTAATCATTATTCCTTAACCAGTCCTTTTGCAAACTTTAAATTTGGTCTGTGAATGTGTGTTTAGATTTGTTTTTCAGTGGCCTGCCGATTCAAGGTATTAAAGTAAACCAAGCTTCTCTCAAGGCTGCCAACTACCACTACCGTCTTTTAACAGATAAGGTGTTTCTTGCTTAATAAATAGTTTCTCAGCATTCTAAAAATATATCTCCCCAGGATCTCCCTGTCTAACTAGCTAAAGGAAAACAACTGGTGAGAAAGGAATGACAGATGTGGTCACTGCTGTGTTCCTTTTGTGGTTTTCACCATTTAACGTTTTGCCTTTCATTCTCCTATTCATGTATTCACTTATTGATTTACTGAATTATTTATTTATTTATTTATTTATTTATTCATTCATTCATTCATTCATTCATAAATACATATGAGCCAGGGAGTATGCAGGATGAGTAATACCTAGTTCTTGTCTTAAGAAGCTCAAAATATAAAGTTCTATCTCAAAGTTATTTTGCCATTCAAAAAAGGTCAATCTCTCCACTTTGATTAAGTGGAGATAATATATATAGAGAGAGAGAAAGAGAGAGAGGTGGGAGAGAGCAAAACACATTTAAATGTAAAAAATACTTTTTTTTAGTGATGGAGTATTCTACTAGATAGTATTGGATGTATATGTGTGTATGAGAGAGAGAGTGTGTGTATGTTTATGTACATATATGTATCCTTACCTTACACTTCTATTAGTATCATATTCCTATAGGGATGTTTCCAAACTAGCTTTGACATAAACCACATTCTAAAATAGCCTTTCAATTATGCAGAAAATAATAGTTATAAAATAATTTTATTTTTATTTTTTTTTTTTATTATTATAAGTTTTAGGGTACATGTGCACAATGTGCAGGTTAGTTACATATGTATCCATGTGACATGCTGGTGCGCTGCACCCACTACCTCGTCATTTAGCATTAGGTATATCTCCCAATGCTATCCGTCCCCCCTCCCCCTACCCTGCAACATTCCCCAGAGTGTGATATTCCCCTTCCTGTGTCCATGTGTTCCCATTGTTCAGTTCCCACCTATGAGTGAGAATATGCAGTATTTGGTTTTTTGTTCTTGCAATAGTTTACTGAGAATGATGATTTCCAATTTCATCCATGTCCCTACAAAGGACATGAACTCATCATTTTTTATGGCTGCATAGTACTCCATGGTGTATATGTGCCACATTTTCTTAATCCAGTCTATCATTGTTGGACATTTGGGTTGGTTCCAAGTCTTTGCTATTGTGAATAGTGCCACAATAAACATACGTGTGCATGTGTCTTTATAGCAGCATGATTTATAGTCCTTTGGGTATATACCCAGTAATGGGATGGCTGGGTCAAATGGTATTTCTAGTTCTAGATCCCTGAGGAATCGCCACACTGACTTCCACAATGGTTGAACTAGTTTACAGTCCCACCAACAGTGTAAAAGTGTTCCTATTTCTCCACATCCTCTCCACCACCTGTTGTTTCCTGACTTTTTAATGATTGCCATTCTAACTGGTGTGAGATGGTATCTCATTGTGGTTTTGATTTGCATTTCTCTGATGGCCAGTGATGGCGAGCATTTTTTCATGTGTTTTTTTGGCTGCATAAATGTCTTCTTTTGAGAAGTGTCTGTTCATGTCCTTTGCCCACTTTTTGATGGGGTTGTTTGTTTTTTTCTTGTAAATTTGTTTGAGTTCATTGTAGATTCTGGATATTAGCCCTTTGTCAGATGAGTAGGTTGTGAAAATTTTCTCCCATTTTGTGGGTTGCCTGTTCACTCTGATGGTAGTTTCTTTTGCTGTGCAGAAGCTCTTTAGTTTAATTAGATCCCATTTGTCAATTTTGGCTTTTGTTGCCATTGCTTTTGGTGTTTTAGACATGAAGTCCTTGCCCATGCCTAAGCCCTGAATGCTATTGCCTAGGTTTTCTTCTAGGGTTTTTATGGTTTTAGGTCTAATATTTAAGTCCTTAATCCATCTTGAATTGATTTTTGTATAAGGTGTAAAGAAGGGATCCAGTTTCAGCTTTCTACATATGGCTGGCCAGTTTTCCCAGCACCATTTATTAAATAGGGAATCCTTTCCCCATTGCTTGTTTTTGTCAGGTTTGTCAAAGATCAGATAGTTGTAGATATGCGGTGTTATTTCTCAAGGCTCTGTTCTGTTCCATTGATTTATATCTCTGTTTTGGTACCAGTACCATCCTGTTTTGGTTACTGTAGCCTTGTAGTATAGTTTGAAGTCAGGTAGTGTGATGCCTCCAGCTTTGTTCTTTTGGCTTAGGATTGACTTGGTGATGCAGGCTCTTTTTTGTTTCCATATGAACTTTAAAGTAGTTTTTTCCAATTCTGTGAAGAAAGTCATTGGTAGCTTGATGGGGATGGCACTGAATCTATAAATTACCTTGGGCAGTATGGCCATTTTCACGATATTGATTCTTCCTACCCATGAGCAGGGAATGTTCTTCCATTTGTTTGTATCCTCTTTTATTTCATTGAGCAGTGGTTTGTAGTTCTCCTTGAAGGGGTCCTTCAGGTCCCTTGTAAGGTGGATTCCTAGGTATTTTATTCTCTTTGAAGCAATTGTGAATGGGAGTTCACTCATGATTTGGCTGTCTGTTGGTCTGTTATTGATGTATAAGAATGCTTGTGATTTTTGTACATTGATTTTGTATCCTGAGACTTTGCTGAAGTTGCTTATCAGCTTAAGGAGATTTTGGGCTAAGACAATAGGGTTTTCTAGATATACAATCATGTAGTCTGCAAACAGAGACATTTTGACTTCCTGTTTTCCTAATTGAATACTCTTTATTTCCTTCTCCTGCCTAATTGCCCTGGCCAGAACTTCCAACACTATGTTGAATAGGAGTGGTGAGAGAGGGCATCCCTGTCTTGTGCCAGTTTTCAAAGGGAATGCTTCCAGTTTTTGCCCATTCAGTATGATATTGGCTGTGGGTTTGTCATAGATAGCTCTTATTATTTTGAGATATGTCCCATCAATACCTAATTTATTGAGAGTTTTTAGCATGAAGGGTTGTTGAATTTTGTCAAAGGCCTTTTCTGCATCTATTGAGATAATCATGTGGTGTTTGTCTTTGGTTCTGTTTATATGCTGGATTACATTTATTGATTTGTGTATATTGAACCAGCCTTGCATCCCAGGGATGAAGCCCACTTGATCATGGTGGATAAGCTTTTTGATGTGCTGCTGGATTCTGTTTGCCAGTATTTTATTGAAGATTTTTGCATCAATGTTCATCAAGGATATTGGTCTAAAATTCTCTTTTTTGGTTGTGTCTCTGCCCGGCTTTGGTATCAGGATGATGCTGGCCTCATAAAATGAGTTAGGGAGGATTCCCTCTTTTTCTATTGATTGGAATAGTTTCAGAAGGAATGGTACCAGTTCCTCCTTGTACCTCTGGTAGAATTCGGCTGTGAATCCATCTGGTCCTGGACTCTTTTTGGTTGGTAAGCTATTGATTATTGCCACAATTTCAGCTCCTGTTATTGGTCTATTCAGAGATTCAACTTCTTCCTGGTTTAGTCTTGGGACAGTGTATGTGTCGAAGAATTTATCCATTTCTTCTAGATTTTCTAGTTTATTTGCATCGAGGTGTTTGTAGTATTCTCTGATGGTAGTTTGTATTTCTGTGGGATCGGTGGTGATATCCCCTTTATCATTTTTTATTGCGTCTTTTTGATTCCTCTCTCTTTTTTTCTTTATTAGTCTTGCTAGCGGTCTATCAATTTTGTTGATCCTTTCAAAAAACTATAAAATAATTTTAACAAGATATTGCATGAAATTTTTAAACCACAGTTTTAAAGTATCTTCACAGCATTCCCCCAAAACATCAAAATATAAATGTGTGAGTGCACACAGACACACACACACACTTTTATTCAATTAGAATAAAGTGGCAATATTTTTGGCTTATTTAATTCATATAAGTGATGATTTTATTATCAGAAATAATAACAGATATTTCTCAAGGAGTATTTTTCATTCTTGAAGTTTCTTTAAGGTAACAATTCATTTTGATATACACTACTCTAAGAGCTAGTTAGTATTATTATCTAGATTTCACAGATGAGAATAATAAAAGAAAATAGAGGTTAAAGAATTTGATTTATTGAGTTCTGGACACAAAATACCATATAAGATAATAAATAAATTTTGATTGAAAAAAGACAAAACCTGTCCAAAACAACCTTTACTAATTGGTAAGAATTATTTTAAAATAGTGGATATTAGTAAAAAAAAAAAGTTACGGAAAACTGTTGAAAGGGCATGACTTTTTTCCTGACTGAAAGATGCCAGTGGATAGTATTTATTTCCTTGTATTCACCTCCCTCTTAGCATTTTACCAATTCTGAATTCCTCCTTATTTTCTTCCTTTTCTCTTGTGATTGAAAAGTTTTAAATGACTGCTGAAGAGTCCATCTGCATTCTATGAGAAGATTCCAAATACAGAATTTTAAACAACCCCCTTGCTGCTTAAGAGAAATATAGCACAATGTACTCATGTGGAAACAAAAAAGGGATCACTTATTTACTTTTCTGTAATTATACAGAAAATTATAGTCTTCTAATCTTTTCATTATTAATTAAATGTATAAAACATGTTTCAAACTTAGAGCAATAAAGCCCCGTGTTATCTCATTTTGCATTCCTCTGAGACTTCTCCCCTCTATTGTCCTGTGGAAATTCCCTCTGTTCTTCGTCATTTTCCCACAGTGGCCTTATCTACTTATGCTACACATTTGTTTCTCCTAATCCTCTTCATATACCCATTATTTTTCATATTATTAGCCTTGTTTCTTTTGATAAAAGCCTTAAAAGCCACTACCTCTTGCTGCCTGTGTTGCCAACTTTTCATGTCCCTGTCATGGTAACACCTTAAATCTCTGACAGCAAATGACAAAATCTCCCGAACTGTACTGTAGACCAAATTCAACTAAATTTAATAAAGAGTTGGGTAACTCTGAATAAAACAATTGGTGCTTGTGGGATAAATGGTGTTGATGGAGTCTGAATCCAAGATATTAGTTATCTCAAAATATAGTTTTAGCTTTGCATATTATGTTCACAAGTTAGTTCCTTCTTTATATTTTACCAATAATTTTAGTGACTGCCTACAGGTGAGTCAGGAATAGGCTTGAGTAAGCTATCCTGAAAGTTTAAGTATTTTCCACAGTTATATAGCCACTGATGGAGCTTGGATATAAAATAGAAAAGGTTAGAATTTTAAAAGCATTTAAAAGTATAGCTAGTCCTTGTTCTCTACCAATTACCTGCACACTTTTGACTTCTTGCTTCTGATCTTGATATACTTATCTGCAGACAAAGGTCTCATTCCCTTCTCTATTTTCTATTTCTTTGGCATTTTAAAAGATTCTCCCTCCTTTGTAATTAATAGTAAATATTGAAGGATTTTTCTTTTTGGAAAAGAGATCATGGCAAATTTGTATAACTTAGTTACAAGCCACAATACAATCTTTTAAAATGTTTTCTAAGTCTTGGTGGGAAAATTGGGTTTTCTTTTCTTAACCTTTAAAAATGGTTTGAATGTAAAAGGACAAAGTGATTCTTAAACAGAGTCACAGTAACATCTGCCAAAACTAAAAATACCTCATTGATTTAACAAGCCAAATTTGTAGCCATGATAAAGCCATAATGTTGTTGTGAATGCCCTGTAATGGGTTATGTGGGTAAAGTAATGTGTTTGTAGAATTGCATGGTTACTCAAAGAGACACTGATAAGCTATATTTTGCTCTTTTGTTCCAGATCCAGGAAGGAAACATTTATTCATCTGATTTGATCCAAAATATTGTCTTAATGACATTTGGAAGGACTTAATGCCATTTTTCTGGGTTTCAGCTCCACTATTCAGCCATACTTCATTCTATATGATTAGGCTGGGCCTTTGTAGACATAGCCATAGTACCCAATGCGTCAAGTTCATAATCAAAAGGCAAACCGAAAAGAAGTTGAATTTTGCCAAGTACTCCTTTCCAAATAATTGTGACTACAACTCTCTCTCTGTTCCCTGCTGGAACCTATTCTGTGATGCAGTTACTTGGTTGGGAGTCTCAGACTTGACTTACCCTAGGATCTGTAATAACTGCTTTCATTTCCCAAATTCCTGCTATCATTCAGAGGTCACTGGATACTACATAAAGTAACAAAGGTATAAGAACGTAGGATTCAGTGGTGGCTAAGGAAATCAGAGAGGGCCATAAATAGAGCACTGGGTAAATATTGGGGCAGTGTTATGCGTTAAAATATGTCCCTCCAAATTTAGTACTCAGAAGCCCTAATTTCCAGTACCTCAGATGTGAACTTATTTGGGAAAAGGGGCAGCATTGTAGATGTGATTAGTTAAATAAAGATGAGGTCATTAGGATGAACTCTAATCCAGTATAACTGATGTCCTTATAAAAAGGGGAAATTTGGACAGATTCACTTCATGTGAAGATGAAGGCAGTGATCAAGGTGATGCTTCTAAAATCCCAGGAACAGCAAAGATTGCTAGAAACCCACCAGAAATTAGGAGAGAGGAATAGAACAAATTCTTCTTCACAATTTTCAGCGGAAACTAACCCTGCTGACACCTAGATCTGACTTTTAACATCCAGAACTGGAAAACAATACATTTCTGTTGTTTAAACCATTCAATTTGTTGTGCTTTTATTTTTAGAGCAGCCCTTACAGAAAAATATAGGCAGTCAGCCTGGGAAAAGAGCAGAAGCTGATAATTATAGACAACTGGTACAAGTACAGTATTCAGAGGAGAAAGACAGCCAGGTATAGGCCAAGCAAATACCAAGTGCCATGGCAGAGACCCAGCCAGGATGACTGGTCTTTCTTAATTGTGGCAGGGAAAGGTTAGATTCTCATCACCTAGAAACTAAGAAGTTCATTAAGTGGGAGAAATCAAGGAGTTCTTAAGGTGGGAGAAAAGGCTCAGGTATTGGAAAGTATACGTTATGTGGAGACGTAACGAGAGGAGAAGAGAAAATCAGCTGGTTCCCGTGAAAGTAGAGGCTGAGAGGGCAGCAAAGTATGGCCCAGACTCTAGGGTCTCAAATCCATCACAGAGTTTTATTTTATTAAGTCAGCAATGGGGGCCATTGGAACAAATCAGTAGGGATTTAAATTCTAATAAAGAAGTATTTAAGGTTTCTCTGGCAGTTACATACAAAGCCCATAAAGTTTGGAGAGACTGGGGACAAAAACCGTGTGACCTCGAGCTCATTACTTAACTCTAGCTGCTTCACCTGCAAAATGGAATTGAGCATATAATCATCTCACTAGATTTTTGTCAGACTTAAATGAGATAGTTCACGTACAGTACCTGAGGTCATAGGCTGAATCAGATACGTACATGACTATACTTTGTCTATTTCTTCAAATTAAATGTAGACATTATTAGCACTTCTTCTTGCTCTTTCCTGACTGTAAGATCCTTCAAAGTAGTTCCTGGAACTCAAGTTTTAATGTATTCCAAGCAACACTTACCCAAGTATTATGAACAGTGAAGACACAGATATCCGAGGTATAGGAAAATTATTACCAAACAGAAGATGGCGGGTGCATTCGGATTTCCCTTTGCCCATTTCTGTTATCCTCGTAATCTAAATCTGAGTTCAAGGCTGAACGCATTGCAAGAGAGTCAAAACATGCTTGTAAATTTGGGCCTGATTTGCTTTAATGAGGTCTTGCTTTCCTCAATTTCTAGGGGAAAATAAAGCACTTAATAACATGATTCAGAGGGCAGATAACATCTCTTTAATATCTCTCCACATGCTGACCTATTTCAATACAGTGCACTTCTCAGGGATGAGAAGCTATGCAAAGCCTGAGAGGCAGCCTCCTCCTGGGAATGTTTCAGCTTTTCAAGATTCTAGGTCATTTCTCTCCCTGATATTTGGAGCTCATTCCCACTGGGAAACCAATCTGTTCACACAGACTTTATTTTTCCAACCAATTATTGTTTAACCACAGTCTAATAGAAATCACATATAAAAATAAAGCCTTGGTGAGGCGCGGTGCCTCACATCTGTAATCCCAGCACTTTGGGAGGCTGAGGCGGCAGATCACCTGAGGTCGGGAGTTCGAGACCCGCCTGATCAATGTGGAGAAACCCCCATCTCTACTAAAAATACAAAATTAGCCAGGCGTGGTGATGCGTGCCTGTAATCCCAGCTACTCGGGAGGCTGAGGCAGGAGAATTGCTTGAACCTGGGAGGCAGAGGTTGCAGTGAGAGGAGATCACACCATTGCACTCCAGCCTGGGCAACAAAGTGAGACTCTGTCTCAAAATAATAATAATAAATAAATTTAAAAATCTTGTATGAAGTTTTTCTTTTTAAATTTCACTGAGAAGACAGAATAAAGGGCATTCATTTAAGGTAATTTGATTAAGATGAAGAATTATCCACGGATAGAGTTTCTGGAGACAAGGAACTCTTTCTCTCAATTAATTTGTCCTGCAGGCATTTCAAGTCATAATCTTAAGCACGTCTTCATGGCTCTCAATCTTGCCATGCTTCTGCAACAAATGCATACATTTCCTAGAATGAGGGACTATGTTCTTCAGGATGTGGTCTTGATTAAAACCACTATCCAGGAGGTCTCTGCACAATTTCAAAATGTTGGAAAAATAAAGCAGCTTCAGAATATGGCCTCAAGACTACACTTACAGTCTCTTCCTCCACTTAGTTTTATTTCCCCCACTTACTTTTTACTTGGAGTGTGTGAATGTGTCCTGTGTCTTTGTATGCAGGTGTCCTCATATTCAGGTGTGTACGTGTTTGGTATGTATACAAGATGTGAATTCATCTATGTTTATAAATAATATTTTTGGATCTTTCCAGACAACATTTCCTGCTTTTTTCCTAAAACCCGATGTGGCAAAAGGCCAATACTGAGAGATGTCAGTTTCTGGAATTTTCGTACATTTTAAATATATACCTTCTCACTTCTTGTTGCCCCATCACACAGAGATATCAAAGGGATCAATTTTAAAATTGAGATTAGTGATAACTCTACTTCTGACATTTTAAAAACACTTCAAACAATTATTAGCATTCTGTCCATAATGTTTTTGGAGGATGAATTCTTTTAAAACAAGAGAGATTTTGACTTTAGTGTAGTTTACAAAACATAATCAGATGTGCAAATGCACAAAAATATGAAAGCCACTTTCCAACCGGACAGTAGTTGCTGTGATCTGTGTATTTTCAGTGCCACACAGAGTGTTGGAAAAATAGTGAAGGTACAATCAATGTTCAAATGAATTCAAAGCTTTACAAATAAGCTTGCAGATTTTTCCATTAGAATAGAAAAACTAACTGCCTGAAAAATCAAATGGCTAAAGGAAGAAGGAAAATGGCAGTTGCATCAAGCTGGAGAACATGTTGCTTCACAGGACCCTGTATTGCTTATATCCACAAAGAGATCTTGACAAGAAAGAAATTGCCTGGAGGTGGATGAATGCTAAAGCATACCCACTGTAGTAGGGCTCTCAAGGGGCAAAAGGGGACTGTTAGAGCACTTTTACATTTAAGTGACATCAAGGGACTCTGGACAAGAAATGTCTTACAAACAAAGAGTGAAAAACATTTTGAAAAGTAAGGAAAAATGACATGTGTTTGGAAGATATTCTATAGTAGCAAGAGAGGGTATAGAAGACCTATCCAGCATATCTAGGGTCCAAAACTTGCTTAACACATCTGGGTTCTAGAATGATATCTTTCCTGGTCTATTGGCTACTTGAAGGAGAACAAAAACTGAATTTAAAATTACAGGCCACAGTCTAAATTAAGGATTTTCCACAGTGTTACCCTGACTTCCCAGCCCCCACCATTTCCAACTATTTCTGGTGACTTCTCTAATTATCCTAAGAAGACAAGAAGAGAAAGGAAGAAAAGTAAGGTTAAATATAGTTGTAAAAACTAGTTTTTAAGTACGAGAAACTAGACACTATACTCATTTTAGTAAAGTATTTGCATTGTGTGTTTTTTATTTTATTCGTCACATTACACATGTCTTAAACACCACAGGTAATTGTACAATTACAGTATTTGAGGAACAAAGTTTATCTTCAACCCCAGTTTATTTAGTCAGAAAGTTGTGTGTGCATTTGTGTTTATGCCTTTTCTTTTTCCCAAATACATTGGAGAGGGGGTCAGGAAGATAAGAAAACTTTTAATTGGTGCATTCAGCCAAGCAGTTCAGCAACAGAACTTTAATTTTTATTTTAATAATGTGATTTTAATTGAATACTTTGCTGGTGCAGCACTAAATTTGGTCTGTTATTTAAAATTAGACCAAGAAGGATTACCCCCCCTCTACAACTAATGCCACCCACACTGCCAAATAATGTGTTTTGCATATGGGAAGAGGCAGAATTTAAATTACTATTCCTTGAGGGATTCTTTAGCAAATGATACCAGTCAACGTATCAATAGAATAGCAAGTTAGTGTTTTAGAATAAACAAACATACAATTGAAATAGTTTCTCTTCAATACACTGTGGCAGAGATCTCTCACTGCCCACTGCACCCTGTTATGCTTTCTCCTCCAGAAGTAGGTTTCCGGCTCAACACCTCCCCTTATAACTAATGAAGTGTGTCTGTATGACTATGTCTTGACAATGGGTATGAGCCTATATGAGTGTATAGCTCCCAGACCAAAGCTATTCTAAAGGGTGGTATATATCCTCCATAATTGCTTTTAATTCTTTCTCTGGCTGGAGATTATTATCAAATGGCTCTATAACATGATGGAACAAGATAGAAGAAACTGGCATCCCTTAATGAACACTTGGGGTAGAATTTTTCTGCTGATCTGAGTGCCTACTCAGGCATGGATAAATGGCTATAATATTAAACTACTGAAAACTGGATGTCTGCTATTGCAGTGTAACATGCCCTCTCTATTACATACCTTCTCAAAAGGATTATCTTTCTTAATAAGCGTAGAAAGTAAAAAATTTCCATTGATGGCTTGTCTATTTCTTCCAGTATTTCCAAGAAGGGCCATATTTAATATAGAAAATGTGTAGTAGCAGTCAAATATTGTGGTAGTGATCGGAAGTCCCAGGACTTCGGGAATCAGAATCTTCTCATACTCATAACCACTTTTTTAAAGTGCCAAATATTTTGACTGAAAAAAGAAAAAGCTAAAGAAAGCAGAATGTAATGCACTTCAGTAAATGTCAAAATAATGAATGAATGAGTAAGTAAGGGAGTAGATGGATGCATGACAAAAGAAGTAGGAAGACAGTCCAGGATCTAGATGAGGATATAAGAGTGTCAACTCTTTTCTCAACCTGGAAGTACAAAGGATTCAATAATGGTCCATCTTTCCATGGAATAATCAAGAAGAGTATGGAACATAACATCATGCAGACAAAAATTGGCATAATTAAATAGGCATAACATGTCATGCACTGTGCTACATCTTTTCACATACAAACTTGGATTTTCATAGATGTGGTTTCATAAAAACCCTGCAAGGGAAAAACTATGCTGTCAACTTTTCACAGTTAAGAGGCTGCTGAGACTCAGTTTCAATATCACTGGGTTGTATTGCAAGCATGTGGCTGAGCCAGAATTAGATTTAAGTCTTTCTTATTTTAGGGCCTATGTTGTCCAAAGTATACTACTTATTCCTGGGAACTTAGAAGGCAATTCTCTAAGCTTTATTTTGTCAACTATAACATAAAAACGCTAACAAAGTTAACATAATAATATATGTTCGTATGTTTTATTAAAATTCAAAGTGATTATTGTTGATGATACACTGAGTAAATTTTACTATAATTTAGAAACATCAGATCTCCTATGTTTCGTATGAGAATATTTTGAATAAGACAATATTCTTTGGATTTCAGGAGACATAGAGGGAGTAGAAAATAGGAAGAAACATATAAATCCGCACTCCAGGCACCCTGGTCTTGCTGGGCTTCCAGGATTTAATTGCTGTACTGCTCCCAAGTCCCGTTCTCACACACATGAATCCTCACTTCAAGTTCTAGACTTTCTATGTCTTTCAACTTCATCTTTTTATCAGTCTATCCTTTCTGATTTGTTGTGGTTATGTATGAAGTGGAGGTAAAATCAGCTAATTTAACAAATCAGACCACACTAAGTGGGTGATGTTGTTTTCCTGTTAAATGCCTTTCTGGCTACAGTCAGTACCTCAATCCTAAAATTACTGTGAAGAGGATATTTTAGGTAGTACCGAAGGGCTGTGAGGAGCATGCTTTTGGAGTATGATGCTGGCTGTGATTAATAAGTATAGTTATGAGGTATTGAGCATACAGCAGCTACCAGGCCCTGTACTCAGTGTTTCACAATGACAGTCTCATTAAATGTAACCAATAAACCAGTGGGTTGGTGCTATTAAGGAAGGAACTGAATAGGTCAGCTAACTTGACAGAGGTACAGATTTGGTTGAAAATTCACTGTTGCTCTTTCTAAGATATGCAGCCAACATATGTGTCTGTCCTCCAAAACTGTGCTTTTAACAACCATCCACTATTGTATATTCTTTGGGTAAGCTATCTAAGATTTATTTTGTAGGCAATGGAACAAAAAAAATAGGACTTTAAAACACATTGAACATAAAGAAACATTAGTTATGAGCAAGAAAAGGGACGAGGGGACTTGGCTACAAAATCTTGAATCCAATTAATGAACCATGAATAGTACTAAAAAGTTGGTGCTAAAATATCTGCATGGTAAGAACTTCTGTGAAATTCAATGTGATGTCCAAAAGGACTACAAGAGAAAATATTTGTGTTGATTTCTTAATATTACTAAATAGTCACCAAATCTTCAAAATACAGGTGCCAAAATGTAAGAGCAATACTGTATTCTGAAAGACTGCCACCTTGAGGTCACTTATTGTTAAACAGAAAGAGATACCATTGGCCTGTACCTCCTGAAAGAAGGAAGATAGCTGCTGGAGTCAGGATGCTAAGGTTAAAGAACAATACTTTTCACGCATCTGCATGTGCTTACTATTTGAAGCAGGGAGCATGTGAGTCAATATTTGAAAATAAAAACAAACCAAACACTCTGTACCTTTTTATGTCATTTGCATAAAAGGTGTGTTGGCACCTTATGTCCTGTTAACATAGGTATGGAATGGAAATGTAATATTGAGATAATAATATAATATTTTATAGAAAATGAAAGTGACCCTTGAAAGAACAGAACAAAGGACTATCAACTTCTGGGTTAGAAATGACAAATCAAAAATAAAACTTGTCATATTTCTTATTTTTTAATTAATTAATTTATTTATTTACTTTAAGTTCTGGGATACATGTGCAGAACCTGCAGGTTTGTTATATAGGTATACATGTGCCATGGTGGTTTGCTGCACCTATCAACCAGTCACCTAGGTTTTAAGCCCTGCATGCACTACATATTTGTCCTGATGCCCACCCTGCTCTCGCCCCCAACCCCCACCAACAAGCCCCGTGTGTGTTTTCTCCTCCCTGTCTCCATGTGTTATCATTGTTCAGCTCTCACTTATGAAGTGAGAACATGCGGTGTTTGGTTTTCTGTTCCTATGTTAGTTTGCTGAGGATGATGGCTTCCAGCTTTCATCTATGTCCCTGCAAAGGACGTGATCTCATTCCTTTTTGTGGCTGCATAGTATTCCATGGTGTGTATGTATCATATTTTCTTTATCCAGTCTATCATTGATGGGCATTTGGGTTGGTTCCACATCTTTGCTATTGTGAATAGTGCTGCAATAAACATACATGTGCATGTATCTTTATAATAGAATAATTTATATTCCTTCGGGTATATACCCAGTAATGGGATTGCTGGGTCAAATGGTATTTCTGGTTCTGGATCCTGGAGGAATCACCACACTGTCTTCCACAATGGTTGAACTAATTTACATTCACACCAACAATGTAAAAGCCTTCTTATTTCTCCACAATCTTGCCAGCATCTGCTGTTTCTTGACTTTTAAGAATCATCATTCTGTCTCCCTCTCCCCCTCCCCCTCCCCCTCCCTCTCCCTCTCCCTCTGCACAGTCTCCCTCTGATGCCCAGCCTAGGCTGGACTGTACTGCGGCCATCTCGGCTCACTGCAACCTCCCTGCCTGATTCTCCTGCCTCAGCCTGCCGAGTGCCTGGGATTGCAGGCGCGCACCGCCACGCCTGACTGGTTTTCGTATTTTTTGGTGGAGACGGGGTTTTGCCGTGTTGGCGGGGCTGGTCTCCAGCTCCTGACCGCGAGTGATCTGCCAGCCTTGGCCTCCCGAGGTGCCGGGATTGCAGACGGAGTCTCGCTCACTCAGTGCTCAATGTTGCCCAGACTGGAGTGCAGTGGCGTGATCTCAGCTCGCTACAACCTCCACCTCCCAGCCGCCTGCCTTGGCCTCCCAAAGTGCCGAGATTGCAGCCTCTGCCCTGCCGCCACCCCGTCTAGGAAGTGAGGAGCGTCTCTGCCTGGCCGCCCATCGTCTGGGATGTGGGGAGCCCCTCTGCCTGGCCGCCCAGTCTGGGAAGTGAGGAGCGCCTCTTCCCGGCCGTCATCCCGTCTAGGAAGTGAGGAGCGTCTCTGCCCGGCCGCCCATCGTCTGGGATGTGGGGAGCGCCTCTGCCCGGCCGGGACCCTGTCTGGGAACTGAGGAGTGTCTCTGCCCCGCCGCTACCCCGTCTGGGAGGTGAGGAGCGTCTCTGACCAGCCGCCCCGTCTGAGAAGTGAGGAGCCCCTCCGCCCGGCAGCCGCCCCGTCTGGGAGGTGGGGGGCGCCTCTGCCCCACCACCCTGTCTGGGAAGTGAGGAGCCCCTCTGCCCGGCTGCCACCCCATCTGGGAGGTGTACCCAACAGTTCATTGAGAACGGGCCATGATGATGATGGCGGTTTTGTCGAATAGAAAAGGGGGAAATGTGGGGAAAAGAAAGAGAGATCAGATTGCTACTGTGTCTGTGTAGAAAGAAGTAGACATAGGAGACTCCATTTTGTTCTGTACTAAGAAAAATTCTTCTGCCTTGGGATGCTGTTAATCTATAACCTTACCCCCAACCCCGTACTCTCTGAAACATGTGCTGTGTCCACTAAGGGTTAAATGGATTAAGGGCGGTGCAACATGTGCTTTGTTAAACAGATGCTTGAAGGCAGCATACTCCTTAAGAGTCATCACCACTCCCTAATCTCAAGTACCCAGGGACACAAACACTGCGGAAGGCGGCAGGGTCCTCTGCCTAGGAAAACCAGAGACCTTTGTTCACATGTTTATCTGCTGACCTTCCCTCCACTATTGTCCTATGACCCTGCCAAATCCCCCTCTCCGAGAAACACCCAAGAATGATCAATAAATACTAAACAAATTTAAAAAAAAATAAAAATAAAAAAATAAAATGAAAGCTTAAATGAAAAAAAATAAAAAAAATAATAAAAAAGAATCATCATTCTGACTGGCGTGAGATGGTATCTCACTGTGGTTTTGATTTGCATTTCTCTAATGATCAGTGATGATTAGCTTTTTTTTCATATGTTTATTGACTGCATAAATGTCTTCTTTTGAGAAGTGTCCATATCCTTTGCCCACTTCTCCATGGGGTTGTTTTTTTCTTGTAAATTTGTTTAAGTTCCTTGTAATTTCTGCATATTAGACCTTTGTCAGGTGGGTAGACTGCAAAAATTTTCTTCCAAAATTACACCACACATCTACAACCATCTGATCTTCAACAAAAACAAGCAATGGGGAGAGAATTCCCTATTTAATAAATGGTGCTGGGAAAACTGGCTAGCCATATGCAGAAAACTGCAACTGGACCCTTTTCTACCTTATATAAAAATTAACTCAGGATAGATTAAAGACTTAAATGTAAAACTCAAAACCATAGAAACCCTAGAAGAAAACCTAAGCAATACCATTCAGGACATAAGCATGTGCAAAGATTTTATGATGAGATCACCAAAAGCAATTGCAACAAAAGCTAAAATTGACAAATGGGATCTAATTAAACTAAAGGGCACAGCAATAGAAACTATCATCAGAGCATCCGGGATCAGTGGCTCACGCCTGTAATCCCAGCACTTTGGGAGGCCGAGGCGGGGAGATCACGAGGTCAGGAGATCGAGACCACCGTGGCTAACATGGTGAAACCCCGTCTCTACTAAAAATACAAAAAAAGAAAAAAAAAAAATCAGCCAGGCGTGCTGGCGGGCGCCTGTAGCCCCAGCTACTCGGGAGGCTGAGGCAGGAGAATGGTGTGAACCCGGGAGGTGGAGCTTGCAGTGAGCCAAGATCATGCCACTGCACTCCAGCCTGGGTGACAGAGCGAGACTCCACCTCAGAAAAAAAAAACAAAAGAAACTATCATCAGAGCGAACAGACAAACTCCTCACATTTCTAAGGATGCTTTCATGGGCCATGAGTGAAAGTTTGACTATTGTAGAAAGGGAACAATGTTTTTAAACATTTTCAGGAATAACAAAGCCATTTTATGGGTTCAATTACATATTATGGAATTTTCTCTCTCCCTCTGCAAAAGTAGCCAATAATTACTTTAACATACAAGCCATGTTAAAGTCTGAATGTTTATTCCACGAATCTCCTTTTCATGACCTTTCTCTTCTTTTCATAAAAACATTTGACTTTCACTATTTCTCTAGGACTTAGAGTCTGGGTTTAAAATAATTTTGATATTGTACGCCTATAGTGATAGGATGCTGTTTCATCATACCACTGGAGATAATTAAGGATAGATTCGGCAAAGAGAACCAGGAGAAGCAATCTAGTAATCTAAGCCAAGAAACACCTAATAACTGGACAAAAATAATGTTAATCATTTCTGCTTTGCAAATACACAAGGCTATAGACACTGTTCTGATAGAACACAAGGGCATGGTGGCCAGAAAAAACAGTGATGCAAATATATAGTAATCCCTCCAATTAGGTATAAGCACCTTGAAGGCAGGCACCACATACTAGTTCTGTATCTTTCCTTTAGTATTCAGTTCTTAGGAGTCAATAGGTCAAATTCATGTATTAAGTAGAAACTTAGTAATGGAGAGGGTGCAAGAAATATAGAAAGATGATGTGAGGGGGCCTTGCCCCAAGAAAGGCAGTTAATCCACCAGGAAGTTCATAGGGCTTTTATGGACAAAGGGCCACCCCAGAGAGCAGGACCAGTCCCATCAGCAGGTTAGTATGCATTTTGGAAGGTAAATCAGATGGGAGAAAAGCACAACGAGATAGGAAATTAGGTCGAGTTTCCAAGTATAGAGAAACACAGGGGAGCAGATATTTTGGTGTTCGCGAAATAAAGATCAAAAAGGTCAAGGCCAGGCAAACAGCACAAACTTCAACCTAACCTGGAATGAAAAGAATGACTCTGGGATCTCTGCCTCTAAATAAAAATACAAAATAGGTTATGAGGGAGCCTGAAGATCAAAATATTTATTAAACCAATGAGGCTTTGGGTAGGTGTTTGAGTGTTTCAGTTCAGTGTGTATTCCTCTACACGGGATTATCTTATATTTGAGGTGAGGGAAATTAGCAGCTTCCTGAACCAAGCCAAGGTAAGACCAATTTTAGCTAACGAGTCAGTTCTGAAATCTTTGCTTTTTAAAATCCACTCACTGCTCTTATATTTTGTTTTTATTTAAAATTAAAATATCAGTAAACTTTAATCTTATTTTAGTTAAATGCAAGGAAAACTTTATTTTTCCACACACTGTTTAGGATATGTAGGGGGATCAATGAGCCCCTGAAGCCAGATATGGTAGCATGAATGGGAAGAAAGGGACATTGAATCAGGGCAGAGAGTGCCTATAATCAAGGAAGGAAGGTTTCTAAACATTTCTAAAACCTCCTGTGATACAATTTGGATGTCCCCTCCAAGTCTCATGTTGAGATGTAATTCCTAGTGTTGGAGGTGGGGCCTGGTGGGAGGTGTGTGGGTCATGGGGGCAGATCCTTCATGGCTTGGTACTGTCCTTACCAGAGTGAGTGAGTTTTCACATTATCTCGTTGTTTAAAAGTATGTGGCACCTCCTCCCTGCTCCCCTCCCTTGCTTCTGTTTTGCCACGATACATGCCTGCTCTTGCTTTACCATAGGCCATGAGAAAAAGCTTCCTAAGACCTCCTCAGAAGCAGATGCCAGTGCCATGCTTTCCATATGGCCTACAAAACTGTGAGCCAATCAAACTTATTTAATTATAAATTACCCAGTCTTGGGTATTTCTTTATAGCAATGCAGGAACGGCCTAACACATACCAAAAACAAGTAGGAGTCACCCAAAAGCAGGGGAAAGAGTCAAGTGCAGAAGGAAGCCATCACCTAGAGCAAGATCCCAGGAAAAAAAGTCTATCTTAATTTCTCTGCAATTAAAACCTGGGCACTCTGGACCAACATTATTTCATGTGTTACGCATTAAAATATGCTGCAAATGGGCTGAGTATGGTGGCTCATGTTCAGGCCCAACTGGGCAATATAGCAAGACCTCATCTCTACTGAAAAAGAAAAAAATAGCTGGGCATGGTGATGTGGGGCTTGTAGTCCCAGCAACGCAGGAGGCTGAGTCAGAAGGATAACTGGAGCCCCGGAGATCAAGGCTGCAGTGAGCTATGATCATAACACTGCACTCCAGCCTGGGCAACAGAGTGAGACCCTGTCTCAAAAAAATATTTATATACTGTAAGTGAGCTGATTGTGTTTAAGATAGGGCAAAGAGGGATATGTCTCCAAAAAGATATTTCTTAGGATTGTAAAGTTGTAGAGAAAGTTCAACTAGAACAGCACCATTTTTATTGAAGAACTAATATATGGAAAATAATCAAGGCTGATTCAGAAGCTACTTAATGAAGCCTAACAATTCTGTAATAAACAAAAAGATCCATGTATTTGCAATCATCACTTATTTAAATTGATAATCAAATAACTATCATTATAATATATAATGGACCTTAGACATTAGCTAACTAAATACATTTACAGAAAACAAATACTTTATTTTTCTCAAAACTCAATAGAAAAACTGCCAATTTATTATCTCTAAAATTGTAACAACTTTAAAATTTTTAAGCATACATCCAAATTTATTAAGTTTAAAATTTTTAAATACATAAACTTTTGTGTCTATATACATACACACACACACGCATGCACGTACATACATATTTGGTGATATAAAATTGAACAAATAGTTCATAGAGTTCCAAAGATTATATCAAAAACATTTTAAAATTAGAAAAGTGAATTTATTTTTTCCAAGATGTTTTTTATCCAAGTAATAAATTTCCTGCTATAGTTGGGTAATTTTTTTTCTTATCTATGTGTTCTCCTGCCTCATTTTCCCTACCTTTCATCACACTTGCCAGCATATTTAAATGCATATAACACAGACAAAATGGGGGTCCTTAGTCACTTGCTTGACCCAACTCCCTTTTAGCATCTTTTTGTTCTCTCACAGTCACTCCCCTCTCCTCCATGAACTTATTTGTTATTATTATTAGGTCTTAACTAATACAGTTCAGGTGTCCTCTCCTCCCGGACTGTCTCAGATTCCTACAGCCACAGGTAACTGCTGTTTCAGTTTTTTCGTTGTTGTTGAAATTTATTGATTGTAAAATTTGAACAATATTTTTCACATACTACCTTTTACCACACTTCTTACTCAAATGCATTTGTCTTACTTCTTCAGTCGGATTACAAGTTATTTGAGAGTAGGGATTTTCATTTCTCATATTTACCCTTGCAAATTACACAAGAGACACTTAGTAAACCTTTATTGAATAAATGAATGAATCTTCGTAATCTCCAAATGTGCCTAAGACAGCATCTGACACAAAGTAGCCATTAAGTATTTGGTTGAGAGTTGTAGGTGAATTGAGTGGGAGACACTCCAAAGAACAAAAATCTATGTCCATTCCTCTGTTGTAGAATTAAAAACTATGACAGCAGATACCTTAAAATGGATGCTTTCATAGGGTGGTTAAAACTGTTACATACAAATATGCAATCTACTTCTCATATTGCCCTAGTGATTCTGACTTTAGATATCCATGAAATGAATGTTATATGACTCATATGACAGCGTAATGAAACATGTTGTCTGACTGTGACCAAATGGAAATGTTTCTTTCTATTTTTTGGTACATCTTTACTATGATTTCAAAAGTATTTCGTATACTCATTCTTCATGTTATATTTCTCTTGCTCCACATTGATTTTACCTGTAATGGTATACTCTTCTATAAGAAGATGAATTTAAGATTGCTCAATTTCTCTAAGTGTGTGTCATTAAAGATAGGAAAATCCAATGATGAATTTACTTTGTCTTACAATGAAACATGCAAGATAACCACAGTGTTGGAAAAGAGAATGAGTGAGTAGTCAACAGCAATGACAAAGGACTCAATATAACACTTTTAACTTCTGTTACGTAGCTACTGAGAAAGACATAACTTCCTACAGGATGTCCATACCACATTAGTCAGCTCTTAGCACTTATTTCATTCTTGTTAAACAGTGAATTTAGTGGAGAATCAGAAAGAATTTAAATATAAGCTTCTCGCCCTTAAAAAGCTTATAATCCTCTATTTGAGACATTTCTAAGTGTTTCTTTTTAATTACTGCTATAGATTCTACTACCTCATTTGCCATATATTGGATTTCTTAGGTTTATCGTTAGTGTCAGATTATTCAGTGATAGGTCATGTTGGGACTGGCTTGATATTAGCAGTGGTTAATATTACGGTGGTGGCCAATATTATACTTTGTTTTTAGGGCTCTTTTAAATAGAGAAAGTTTGCTAAAAACAGTTAATAAAAGTCAAAGCATCAGAGACCAGTTAAGAGAAAAATGTCTCTGAAGTCTAAGAGAACTACAGGACGATTTGCTCACAGAACTGCATTGGTATGTTTTATCTCTTTTACTCAAGTGGAATTAAGTATGCAAAGGGAACACATCACTACACTGGGGAAGAACAAATGTGACATGGAAAAAGAAAGTGGCTGTGAATTGAAGAAAGAGTAAAATAGAAGATGATAACACATAGTAATAGCAGTGAAATCTTGAATGATGTCCTATTAAAGTATCCTGCTATGGAATAAAAATAGAGACATAAGTGAAGAGGCCAATGCATGAAAAATTAATCAAGAAAAATGTTTTTTCATCTTATAGACAGTACATACACACACACACACACACACACACACACACACACGACTTGTTTAAATGCTATGGCAAGAATGGAAAAGGAGGAGGAAGAAATAACTACAGATAAATAATATATCCTCATGGAAATGAGGACAAAATACACATTAATCATTTTTTTTTAGAAATGTGGAAGCTGCCTTTGCATAATAATGTTGGATTCAAGGAAAATACTTTTCTACATATGTCATGACATTTGAAAATTTGATTAGGATTTCAGATTCTTGTTTATGAAGTATCAAGACTAACATCTTCTGACCAGGATATCAGACTAGAAAATAGTGGGAAATATATAAAGATTACCTTCCCATTGAATCATAGCTTAAGCCAGAGGCCAGGAACCGTTTTTGTAAAGGTTCAGATAGTAAATATTTTTTAATTTGTAGTAAAGTTCCAAATACTCAACTCTCCTGTGGGAGCACACAAGTAGCCATGGATGATATGTACATGAATCAACATGGCTGTGTTGAAAAATAACTTTATTTACAAAATCAGGTGGCCAGACAGATTTGGCCCATAAGCTGTAATTTCCTTTTCCCTCTCATAAGCAAATAATAATAGTGGATAAGGCTTTCATAGTACTATTATACATTATTTAATTTTCTTCATAAAAAGGGACCAAGAAAATGAATTTACTACTTTTTAACATAATAAATAATTCAGATAGTTCAGATGCATTTATTTTATAAAAATAAATGTGTTATGGTATTTGACTCTACAGCTCATCTGAAAGAAAGCACTTTAAGTAATACATGGTCATGAAATTGTGGCTAACTTTGAAAAAGCCTTAACAAAAAAGCAATCAAAAATGCAATTTCCTAAAGATATTTGAACTATTTGCTGTTTCTTAACCCTCAAGAATTAATGACACAATTAGTTCATAAAGTTCAACAAACTTATTGCATTTCTGACATAATATGTTTTCCTATTCATCAAATACTGTATGAGGCCAAAGCCTAGTTACAAATAACAGTAGGTTGTTTTGTTAACTATTCATTACAAAATAAACAAAAAAAGTAAATTTAAAACTTAAAATCTGGTAGACTGAAACTCTTGTATCCTTAATGGATGTACAGAATGAGCATTATCTTAGAACTCCAGAGGTGGAAGTGTGCTTAGTAAAGGGAAACTAAGGCACCTTATCCAGAGGTCTCTCTCCAAAGTTAGCTTCCTCAAATTTTATTTTCTTTTATGAAAGATTAGATGCTCCACTTGTGCCACAAGTACCTCCCAGTAACCTGGAAGAATTGAGGCAGAATGTCTATGTGATGTTATGTGAAAAACCTTGCTTCACTGCCCGTAAGGAACCAGGGGTATGTCCTATACCAGCACAATTTGTGAGCTAGGGAGGGAGCCTCTCATTTATAGAAACCAGTCACTCCATAGTTATGACCAAAATATCAGCTAAATGTCATGTACTCTGTTGGGCACCTCTGAAGACATTTCAACCTTGGCTACAAGGAGACATGTCGATAAAAAATTGGTTACAATTGTTTCTTAATCTAGGATCAGAAAACTTTCTGTTTGGTACAAGTTAATGAAAATACTATTTTTAGTACTAAAAAACCATTACGTCTTCCTGCGATTATTCTAAGTCCTTCACATACTGATGGAAATCATAAAAATATAATATTACTGCATTAACCTTAGTTTATTACATGACTTTTCAACCACCTTACAAAAAGAACTGTCAACTTCTTTGCAAAATACTCTATTTTGATATGCAATATATTCTATAACTCTTGATAAATACATTTCAATGTATTAATCATATAAAATTTGCTTTTTCATCTTGCTTTTGCTCATAAGAGTTAAAACATTAAATATAGGAAAAATAAGCAAAACTTGATAACTTTTCAACTGTACTTGTACTTGCGCTTCATTGTTCCCTTTTCTAAAAATGCTTCTGCACTTTATAGTCATTTATATTTGATTAATGTTTCTCCTAATAGAGGAAGAACTTTTAGATTTAAGCTGGGGTGGAGGGAAAGGATTATGATTGATTGAAGATCTGGGAGCAGGGGTGAGTATAGGATGCAAGCTCTGCTATTAATGGTAGTGTCACTTATAAACTCTCCAAGCTCTTGATGACTTCCAGGAGCCTTACACCATAGAGTTATGTAAAACACTTTTGATATTGGAAGTCTTGGACCTTGCATTGAGTAAAGATGCTGATGAAAAGCTAAAGTGTATATATATGTGTGTGTGTATATATATATGTGTATATATATATATGTGTGTATATATATGTGTATATATATGTGTGTACATGTGTGTATATATATGTGTGTGTATATATATGTGTATATATATGTGTGTGTGTATATATATATGTGTATATATATGTGTGTGTATATATATGTGTATATATATGTGTGTGTGTGTTATATATATATGTATATATGACACACACACACACACTCAAACACATGGGATCCTAAGGTAGAATCTGCAGGAATTCAGTTGCCCTACCTCTATAGATCCTGCCCCAAAAGTCATGCCGAATTTTCTGAGCTCTCAAACCTATCTATATACTACACAGGATAGATAAATGATAGGTAGCTAGGTCAGTAAGTATATACAGATAGAGAAAGATAGATGAATGGATAGATAAATAGATAGTTAGTAAATTGATAGGAAACCGAAAAGGTAGACAAAACTGCAGTGAAACATTTTGGTGATAAGCTCTTTCTACCCATGATATTGAACAACTAGTAGTCTCTCCATTGAGACTCTTCTATGATGGCAAGAGGCTCTGCTGTTTCCAATTGGGTAATTTAAAGATTATGAAATGCGGATAGATCAGGCTAGAAAGCTAATCTGTTACTAAGATTTTTAGTGGCTTTACATTATGCCCAGAATACTTGGAGGAGATAAAGGTAGTTCTGTTGTGTCAGTTAATGTCAACGATTCATCGTAGGACAAGCCTATAATCCCTTGATACATTTTGCAAATTCTGTGATGTTGGTCTTGACAGTCCAAAAGTAGGATGATATACCATGTAAACTAAAATGAGAATGATGTGACACAAACATGGTAAATCCTTATTATTTGTTCTTTGTAAGTAAGGGGAACATGGATGAAGTAAGTAATGAGGAAGAAAAACTTTCTTAGAGATGCAAATAGAAGACAGAACCACAGGATTAAAATAGCTCTCATTGTTTAACAAACATAACCATAAACAACCAGGGTGAGGAGCAATGAAAATCTGCCTTAGTGTGTGTTTCTCCTGTAATAAAATTTCACAATTTTGAGGTGGACTCACAATATCTGAAATCCTGGTAGACAAGCCTTATGTAGCCATTGGCATTTATCTCAAGTAATGAAATACTTTCTTCATAATATAGATTTTTCTTTGACTAGCTACGCTTTTATGATTTAGAATCAAATAGAGCAACACTATTATTTCATGGTGTTGCATGGTGAAATATCCTACTACATTCTGTCTGCTTCTGAGCATGCTTTCAACATTTTAATCTGTAGCTTTTGTAGTTTGTATCTGAAGTACCGTAGAAATTGTAACCTTACAATTTTCCTTTTGCACTGTAACAGACCAAAAAAAATGACTAGAGCTGATTGTATCTAGATTTAGAAGACAATGGAGCAGGTAATTACCCACAGAGATCTCTATCCTCCCCACTTGCTATGATAAAGAGATAGCTGTTTGATTTTCCTAATATGAAAGATCTATTTGTTTAACATGGTTTATTCTGTTGTATGCTTTATTTGCTGTGTTTTTTTTCCTTCTTATTCTTATACAAGACCTATCTTTATTGTTTGCTCAGTCATCTGGAAAATGCAATGAAAAAAGGAGAAAGATTATGCCATATTGAGGGTAAATGAAGTTAATCTGTCTAAGAAAATAAAATTTTTGAAAAAATAATTTACTACATAAGAACTTTGAAGATGTTAATTTAGAATGGTCACTGCTCTTTAATCCAAATTACACCTACACTTCTAAACTGGAAATACTTGTGCTTTTGAAAGTCTAGTAGAAAAAAAATGGAGCCCCACTACTTCTTCAAATGCTTAACATTTTTAGAAAATGATAACATATATAACATATTTCAGCATGGTATCAATTCGTATTGTCAAAACAGTCTTCCCTATGTTGAATTCAATTGCATTAGCTTATTTTTACATGTTCTTTCTTAGTAAAACCAGGAAATAGTTAAAATCAATAATTTGGTCTATATGTGATTTTCACAATGTCTCCCTTTCTACAAGAACAAAAGAGAAAAGTCAGGGACTTGTTTCTCCCATTCAGACACTTAAAGGAATGCATTCACTACCTTAGAAGGAAGAAGATGCTATGAAGATGGGTTTCTTGACCCTACCAGCAATCAAGGTTCCACCTCCTCAAGGGTAGTATGAACAACCAAGAGCCGTGTTTTGCAAACCATCAGTGATAGTCTGCATGATAAAAGCCTATCTTATATCTGATTTTGGACCTAGTGGTATCCATGGTTGCACAATCTCAGGAAGAGTTGCTATTTTAGCTCATCTTAACAATACTTGGGACTGAAATGCAGGGAAAAAATTTGAAAGGAGCCTGTATAGGTAGAAGTTTAAAGGAAGATTAATAGACTAATTGGCTGGGTGAGACCTTAAAAGATGGCAGTTAATTCCAGTGCCTTACCTTTGAAGAAAAATATGTTACCGGATTGATTGTAACTTGGTTTTCAAAATACAAAGTCTATATTTCACTTCTCTAGTGTTGTTTTGTTATAATTCTAATTGTTTCATATCAATTAAATTTTATCATTCTATGTGTGAATTCTATAACTCCATAATTTAGAGTCCAGTGTTATACAACTTCTCTCCTCTATCTATACTTAATTCCCAGGTAACCTCTTCCAGTCCCTTGAATGCCACCTTTATGCTAATGGATTCTAAATTCGTATCTCCACACAACACCTCTTTCTTTATCCAGAATCCTATAGCTCCTTAATTAACATCTTTACATGAGAGTCTAACAGGCGTTTCAAAAATAACATCACAAAGAGAACTCTGAATTTCAACTCCTACCACTGCTGAACCAGATTCATCTCTGGCTTTTCCCATCTCAGGAAATAACATTTCCATTACTCTAGCTGCTCATGTGAAAAAACATAATTTGATTCTAGACTCATCTCTTTCTCCTATACCCTACATTCAACGCATGCACACACCATGTTGTCTTTTCCCTCAAAATACATAAAAAACTGATGAGTTCTTACAACTAGCATGCCTATAAACATGATCAAAGCCATTATCTTATTTTGTCTGAACAATTGCAATGATCTCAACTAGGCTTTATCCTTTCATACTGAATTCTCTAGCAGAGAGTCTATTCTCCACTCAACATAATTCTTTAAATATATGTCAGGTCTTACCACTATGCTTAAAATTACCCACTGGCTTCCAATTTCAAACAAAGTCTTACATTATCTACCTTATGCTACTCTTTGACCTAATCTATTAATTTTCTTTAACTTACTCTTTCAGACACACTAGACTCTTTGGTACTCTTTGCCTTCTGCCCCAAAGCATTTTTACTCATTATTTTCTGTTCCTGAAAACTCTTCCCCCAGGTATCTTGAATGGCCTGCTTCTTCACTTTCTTCAGGTCTCCATTTAAATAACATCAAGAAGCTCTTCCCTGAACATCTTATTTTAGAGGTGTTACCTCTTTCCCCTCTATGTCTCTTATCCTACTTTATTTTTATTCATAACAGCTTTTACTATTTGACTTTTATTTAAAACCCCATAAACCCTTTAAGGGAAGAATCGTTTTGGTTTATTTACTATAGCATCAACAGAACCCTGAACAATGTTTAAATATATGAAATAGTAGTTTGTCACATATTCTCAGGTATTGCCTCTGGGAAGGGAATGGCTATTTTGTAGGCTGTAATAATGAGCAAGTATCCTCAAAATCACTGACTACTTTTCTCCACACCAAAAAATTCAAGTAACAAATAAATCTCATATTTTAAACTTGTAATTCTAAATCTAGGGAAGTTTGGAAAATGGTTATTAAAGGTGACCAGGATTCTCTGTTGTACTCATTGACTAAATAATTCATGTATTCATTCATTGCTCATTTGAAAAATATTTAATACCTTCATATAATACGCATGGCCCTGCAAGATGCAAAATTGATTCAAGATTGTCCTCAAGGAGCTTTTTCAGCTAATGCAAACATGGTGATTTACAACAATCTGGTTTCACTTCTCAACAGCTACTCATCTTCTAGATACACCTAATACAAATTCAGTGCTCTACAAATAATGAAAACCCAATACATTTTATTATAAAAACAGTAATCACAATAAAGCTCTTAAACAGGTTGGAATTCAAGAAAATGTGACAACTTAAATCTTAATATACTCTAGCTTGACCTCTAGGCTGATGACAGTTATCAAAATTGTTTAATAGTTTCATTTGTCATTTACTAACTAAAACCTAGGAACTGTATCAAATACAAAATAGAAAATAATATTATTGATTGTATTTTTTTCTATATTATAACTTTATATAATTTTTCTCAATAGTGGGAGGCATAATTATCACAAAATACCTTTACCTAAGATGAACTTCCTAATCCAGCAATAATTAGTGCCATGTCTGCAATTTGTTTTTGCTCTATAGGACATCCATACCAAAATTATGTTATTCATTAATGATTTAATTGTAAAAATGTAGAAATTTATATTTAAAAATTAGGAAAAAAGAATCTTAATTAAATCTCACAGAAGTGAGCAAAGGGAATTTGACTGATAAAAATAAAATAAAGATGTATAGATTACCGCAGAAATGGAAATCATATCAAATAAATATTGAACTATTTAGAGAGATGAGACCACTGAAACACACTAAATGATGATTAAAACAAGATAAATATTTATTAAATGTGGCTGTGATTTATTAAGTTGTGCTGGACTAAATAAATGTAATTTGATATCTGAGTCATATCTTTCTGATACAGCCTTCATTAAATCTGAAGTCCCAGCTTTGAGGGAATATTATATGTTCCCTTCAGTTTTTAATCTCTTTGAAATATCAGTTTGATTCTGGGGAAGGCTCTGAAAGTCACAGACTGAAGTCTCTTGCTTGTCAATGAGGTTGTTCTGTTCTGCCGGATAGAGAGGACAACCCATCAAACTCTGTGAGGGCAGGGGTTGCTGTCACCACCAAGGAGCTGGACTGGTGCCTGCCATGTGGTGCTCAATAAATAATACTTATTTATACTTACTAATGAAGTACCTCTTTATTTCTTCTTCTCTAAAATAAAGTGATTTAACAATACAAGTTTTTCCCAAAATGAGAACTAAGATTCACCAATCAGCTATTATTAGGCAATCTTTGAATGCCTAGCACAGAGAATGCCTAATAATATCTAAAAGATTCTATTTCTCTGCCTCAAGTCTCTCATTTGTAAAAGAAGTGTAATTATGATTTTTACCTCGGAATTGTTGTGAGAATTAAACAAGAAATGGCATAAAGGGACTTAGGAGATAGTTTAGCACTAAATGAGTTTTCAGTGAATGTTTATTATTAATAAAATTCTCAATAATAGTCCTGCTCTCTGGCACTGTATTGACCTCCCCACTAGGGATCTACATTCTTTTAATCTGCTCTTCTAAGAATCAGAATAATAGTGTTTTACCTAAATTAGATAGAGGCAGCTGCTGTTTTTTTCTATTAACATTTAGTTATAGTGTCTACCATATATAAACAAACTGACAGCTTTGGTTCCTACCAAAGATAGCATGTATTCAGATAGCACACATTTGAATAGCACGTATTGGGATAGCTCATATTCAGACATATAAAAAGGAGGATTGCTGGGGAGAAGGGAGGGGAGAGGGTGGTAGTCTTTGAGAAAAGCTGAATTTTCCACACTGGTGGTTTGCACTGATTAGTCAACACTTAATTATTCAGCAAAATATTTTATCTTGAGTCTATAAACCCAAATTTTTGCTAAGTCTATATGACATGCCTAATCTGCAGCTTTATAGTTGATTTTTTTATCTTGCCATATTAGCAAGTGATAGCCAAACAATTAATCACAGATAGACTACTGTGTGCTGAACAAGCTGTCAAAGAAGCTAAAATAACTAGACCAACTATGGTACAATCTGCTTATTTTCAGATGTCTAAGCATGGTCTGAATCTCTCACTTCATTTAATTCTTTGTTAACTCTCACTCTCCTGGAGGGTTGCTTTTCTATTTTTATTGAATAATTAGGAAATGGCACAGGAAACAGGAGTAGAAAAAAAGTTAAGCATGGTTACTTGACAGAATTGTATAGGAAATACTCAGGAGACAATGACAACCAGTGGTGTCCAAGGGCAGCAAGACACATGGACTAGCACTGTCCATCAGACTCATGATCAAAAACTTCCTGCTATACTAATGAAGTGTCTGGCTTAAGGATTCAATGTGTCAGCACATCATCCTTTCTTTTATTATTTCTTTTCTTCCCCAGGAGAAAACAAAGGAAAGCCTGCTCACCTCTACAGGAACCATGCACGACAATTTTATTTTAAAAGGTAAATTTATAAGAAAAATGTGTGACACCAAATGTGTGGAGAGAGTTGGAAAGTGAGCAGCTTGTCAGCCAAAACTATAACAAAGTAGCTAATGAATAGCAGCCTTCTAATGAGTAAAGTGACAAAAGAAAGTAGCAATTGGGTTGAAAACGCAATGATAGTCAAGTGACCCGTAATAGAATAATCTGAATCCTAATCTTTACTATAAAAACTACAGAATAAAGAGATGTGAGCTTTGATTTCCACTTTCCACAGCTGGACTAAATTTTTTTTTCCCTTCCTCAGGTTCTTTTAAGAGTCGAAAGCCATCATGATCATAGGAGATGGAGACACTGCCTGATCAATGTCATCAAAGATGTTGTTTTACAAAGTGTCCAGTGCCGCACTCTATATATCCATGAAAAAGCTTTTTTCAGAACAAATTTCTTCCTGCCAATATGATTTATTTTATACTTGTTGTATTTGGAATCTCGTTTTGATTTATATATCTATCTTAGTCTGGCTCTTCCCAGAAGCACACGCTGAGACAAGGATTAAAGTAAAAGTTGTTTATTTGGGAAGGGCCATGAACACTGGCAAAGTAGTGGAGAGGTGAGGCAATCCATGAAAGATGGATGAAAAACACTACCAGAGTGAGCCACAGAGGCTCAATCCCACTGAGAAACTCTGAGAAATGATGGAAAACATATGCCTTAGAATGGTCATTCCCAAGTGGTGGAGGAGTAGACAAGTCTTTGAATGAAGTTGCTCTGGGTGATAAGTTCTCAGTACCTCCATCCTCTTTCTTAAGTTCTTGAGGAAAGAATCCTAAGCACGGATGATCCCCAAGTTAGCTGAATGTTGTCAGGAACACACAGAAAGGTTTAGGCAATATGGCATGGCACTGATAACATCAGCTACAGCGTTGTTGTTTCATTTTGTTTTGGCGTCTAGAAAATACATGGTAAAAAGGGGGCTCATATTTAACAACTATACAAGACTGTATTTTATATAGTTTTGTCTGCTTATCCTTTGCTCGAACTCTGTACCCATTTCCCCCTTTCCCTACTTAAAAACACATTTATTTTCTACTGGTATCCAAGTGAGTAAGTTTCCCCACATCATTTTAAAAAGTGAGACTAGGTGTAAATCAACAAAATGGCTCAGTGAATAATTCAACAATTATGTAGTAATTGTCATTTTATAATTCATTCAAAAAATATGACAGCCTAGTTGTTGTGGTGGTGGTTGTTGTTTTGAGATGGCGTTTCACTCTTGTTGCCCAGGCTGGAATGCAATGCCATGATCTCAGCCCACTGCAACCTCCACCTTCCAGGTACAAGTGATTCTCCTGTTTCAGCCCCCCAAGTAGCTGGGATTACAGGCATGCCCCACCACACCCGGCTAATTTTTTTGTATTTAGTAGAGACGGGGTTTCGCCATGTTAGTCAGGCTGTTCACGAACTCCTGACCTCAGGTGATCCACCCGCCTTGGCCTCCTAAAGTGCTGGGATTACAGGTGTATGCCACTGCTCCCGGCTCACAGCCTAATATGTGTCAGGTATTAAGTTACATTCTGAGAATAGTGTCAAAGATGAATAATACATGCTTCCCACCTTCAAGGAGCTTGCAGACTAACTGGAAGAATAACAAGCAAAGACACAAAAATAAGATTAGTGCCAGAGCTAGGATGTGTAGTAAAATCTTATGTGACCTACATTGTTATATTGATCGCAGCCAATATTATTTCTGTCAGCCCAAAATTTGGGGAGGCAATATTTTTAAAGCAGAAATATTTATTGCCTTAACTGTGGTTGAACTGGGTTGGCCATGACTGTTTTAAATGAGATGGTTGTGTCAGAATAATAATTGATAACCTTTCAACATCTGTGTGGCTGGTACAGATATAGCAACTGTCCCCACCTTGTTTGCACAAAAATAGATTTAAAACCCCACCATAAGCCTTGCAGCCTCATCACAAATTATTCTCCTCAACAAGTCTCTGGCATGGCACTTAGATGTAGAAAGGTTGGATAAAGCTGTTTATTATACCTTCAGCCAAAACTACATTATAATCTTCATTTATCCAAGTCAAATTTATCCAAGTCAAATTTATATAATAAATGTTCACATAGGCCAGGCACAGTGGTTCATGCCTGTAGTCCCAACACTTTGGGAGGCTGAAATGGGTGGATCATGAGGTGAAGAGATCGAGATAATCCTGGCCAACATGGTGAAGCCTCGTCTCTACTAAAAATACAAAAATTAGCTGGGCATGGTGGCGCACACCTGTAGTCCCAGCTACTTGGCAGGCTGAGGCAGGAGAATTGCTTGAACCCAGGAGGCAGAGGTTGCAGTGAGCCAAGATCACGCCATTGCACTCCAGCCTGGCAACAGGGTGAGACTCTGTCTCAAAAAAAAAAAAATAAAAATGAAAATAAATAAATAAATGTTCATATAACAACTTTGGAATATACATCTTTTTTCAAGTTTACTTGGTATATTCATTAAGATAGACTTTATGTTGGGCTATAAAACAAATTTCAAGACATTTAAAAGGTATACATATATATACTATGAATATTCTCTGAACACATTGGAATTAAATAAAAAGTCAATAAAATATCAAGGAGACTTCAATTACCTACAAATTAATAATGCCATAGATCAAATAAGAAATCATCAGATAAATTGGAAATACAGTCATGTACCACATATAACTACATTTCTGTCAACAATAAACCATATATATGATGGTAGTTCCATAGAATTTTAATACCATAGTTTTACTATACTTTTTCTATGTTTAGATACACAAATATTTGCCATTGTGTTGTAATTGCCTACAGTATTAAGTACAATAACATGATGTACTGGTTTGTTGCTTGGGAGCAATAGGCTATACCACATAGCCTAAGTGTGTTGTAGGCTATACTATGTAGATTTGTGTAAGTACATTCTGTGATATTTGCCCAAGGATAAAATCTCTTAATGATGCATTTCTCAAAATGTATCCCAATTGTGAAGTGATGCATGATTATACACTGAATTAAGTGGTAGCAAAATGACAACATACGAAAATTTGTGAAAGGCAGAGAAAGCAGTACTTACAGGAAAATGTATACCTTTAAATATATATATTAGAAACAAAAACCTAAAATGATCTAAAATAAATGACCTATGTATCTGCATTGAGAAATCAAAAGAGAAGAGCAAATTAGCCCAAGATAAGCGGAAGTAACAAAGAAAATAATTTTTAAAAATAAGCAGAAATCAGTGAAAGGGAAAACAGATAATATAGAGAGCATTTAACTTTCCATATTAAAAGATGGCTGTTTGAAATTAACATAAAACTTGGTTTTTATCTCTAGATGAAATAAGAAAAAGAAAGAGAACTCATATCAGCAATATCAGCAATAAAGAAGAATCTACCAACAAAAATCCTATAATCATAAAAAAGACATTAACAATATGGTAATAACCAAGAACAACAAATTCATTATTCTGGATTAAATGGACAAATATATTGAAAAATACATTTGAAAAATACAAATTAACACAAGAAAAAAAGAAAACATGAATAGTTCTCTATCTATTAAAGAAATTTAGTTTAATCTCAAAATTAAAGAAATTTAATTTAACCTCAAAAATCTTTCCTAAAAAACGCAGATATAAGTAGTTTCACTAATGAATTGTATCAAAGATTTGAGGAAGAAGAAAATATATAGGAAAACATAAGGCATTCACATACTTTTTAAAAAAATAGAGATGGAATAAACACAGTCAAGTTGTTTTCTGAGGCTAACATAAACCTAATACTAAAACCTGACAAAGACATAATGAAAAAGGAAACTTAGAGGTCAATATCACTCATAAATATAAAAATTTTGATGGGAGCCAAGATGGCTGACTAGATGCAGCCAAGAGAAACATCTCCCATGCAGAGGCTGGGATATCAGGAAGACGGGCACACTCCAAGCAGAACTCTAGTGGGAAGGCATTGAGAGTGGCTGGAGGCAGAAATCAGACACTAGGCTAAAGAGGCTGGGAAAACAGCATGGGGCTGCCAAGCACTGGGACTCATTGCTAGCCTCAGGTGACTCCTGGGGAAGGAGTGAGTTGAAAAGATGAGAAGTGGCCTGCTCTTACCACAGATATCTGGAATTCTAGCACCAAGAGACTCCTCCGCAGCCCTCAAAGACACTTGAAATGGCAGGGAAAGCTGCTTGGAGAGGTGGTATGACTTCAGTCTGTGCAAAGCCCAGAGGGTTTGCTGTGGAATGGCTGGAGAGGGGTATGGCCAGGGATGCCCATCTCTCAAGGCTCACCATGCTCCTTTAGGAACTTTGGCCTTTGGGTGACTGTAAGACCTTGACATAGCAGGCCTGTGAGACAGAGCCAGTTTGATTTTAACTACCGTCTCTCTTCTGGCCTCTCTGGCCATCCCTGCTTGCAGCACAGCCTCAAATGCCCAGCCAGGGTGCTTAATGGGGGCACACATCATAGCTCCTTCACCAGCAAGCCAGGCATGACCATTGGAGAGCTCCAGCAGACCAGCCTTGGCCAACACACAAAAATCCATCTGTAGCCTGCCCCTACTGCAGCCTCCACCCATTACTTTGCAAGCATGAACTTGCCCATGACCTCCCCTGCCACTGCTTTGCCAGCACACAGGCATGGGCCAATCTTGCCTCCTCACACAAGCCAGTGCACATGTGCATGCAAATCCTGTCACTCCACCACTGCTGGTGTAAGTGTACCTCATAGCCCCACACCTGCTAACACACAGGCACCCCACCACCCCACTACTGCCAGTGCAAACACTGGTAACTCTGCCCTCATCAGCACCACAACCCCACTGCACCACCACCACCACTAGTGCAAGAACATGCAGGAATGCCACCGCTCCACTCCCACAAATGACCTGCCCCAGCTGATGCATGGGCACCCCACCACATTGTGGCATCAGGTACATGTGAGCAAGCACAGATCCCACTACCACCATCCCAATTAAGCCCGTTGGCCTGCAACCCCCATCAGACTGTTGTGGCCAGTGAACTGGGAACACCTCAACCCCTCTCACACAGCAGGTCTGTAACCTTCAGGGGCCAGGGAACAAAGCTTGGGGCTCTTTACCAGCCACCCAGAGTCAGAGCACACAGCCCAGGAGTTCTGAGTTCAACCTTGGTGCCCTAAAATCTTCCAGAAATGAAACCAGTCACCTGAACCCATCTTATGCCACAATCAAAACCCTGAATGCATCAAAAAGATTAAAAAAAAATTCCAAGGACAGCAACTTCAAAGATTAAAGTAACATCTGCCCACAAAGATGAGAAAGAACCAGTGAAAGAAGCCTGGCAACTCAAAAAACCACAGTGTCTTCTTATCTACTAATGACTGCACTAGTTTCCCAGCAATGGTTTTTAAACCAGGCCGAAATGGCTGAAATGACAGACATAGAAGTCAGAATATGGATAGGAATGAAGTTTATCAAGACTCAGGAGAAAGTCAAAACCCAATCCACGGAATCTAAGAAACACAATAAAATGATACAGGGGCTTAAAGATGAAATGACTATTATAAGAAAGAACCAAACTGATCCGATACACTGAAAAACTGACTATAAGAATTTCACAATACAATCTCAAGTATTAACAGCAGAATAGACCAAGCTGAGGAAAGACTCTCAGAGCTTGAAGACTGGTTTCTGAATTAGTCAGACAAAAATGTTTAAAAAATGAATAAAAAAGATTGAACAAAACTTGAAAATTATGGAATTATGTAAAGAGACTAAATCTACAATTCACTGGCACCCCTGAAAGAGAGGGAGAGAAAGCAAGCAACTTGGAAAACATATTTGAGCATATTATCCAGGAAAATTTCCCCAACCTCACTAGAGGGGCCAACATTCTAATGAAGGAAACGTATTTAGGTACTATACAATAAGACACTCCCAAGACACGTAGTCATCAGATTCTCCAAAATCAAAATAAAAGAAAAAATATAAATGCAGGTAGTGAGAAGAGGCAGGTTAACTACAAAGGGAAACCCATCAGGCTAACAGTAGATCTTATAAGAAGGTCAGAAACCCTACAAGCCAGAAGAGATGGGGGACTATATTCAGCATTTTTAAAGAAAAGAAATTGCAACAAAGAATTTTTATATACAGCCAAGCTAGGCTTCATAAACAAAGAAAAAATAAGATCCTTTTCAGACAAGCAAATGCTAAGGGAAATCATTACCACCAGACCCATCTTACAAGAAAGAGGTCCTTAAGTGAATGCTAACTATGGAAATGAAAGACCATTACTGGCCACCACAGACCATTGACCCTATATAGCAACAACAAAATCATGTCTGAATCATAACCAGCTAACATGATGACAGGATCAAATCCACACATATCAATATTAACCTTGAATGTAAATGGGATAAATGACTCAATTAAAAGGCACAGTGTGGCAAATTAGAAAAGAAAGCAAGACCAAACTGTATTCTGTCTTCAAGAGACTCATGTGTCATGCAATGACACCCATAGGCTCAAAGGAAAGAGAGGGAGGAAAACCTACCAAGCAAATGCAAAATAGAAAAAAGTAGGGTTGCTATTCTAATTTCAGACAAAGTGGACTTTAAACAAATAATGGTCAAAAAAGACAAAGTATAGCATTATATAATGGCAAATGGTTTCTTCCAAGAAGAAGACTTAACTATACAAAATATATGTTTACCCAACACATTAGCACCCTGTTTCATAAGACAAGATCTTAGACACCTATGAAGAGACTTGGATAACCACATAATAATAATGGGAGACTTCAACACCCCATTGACAGGATTAGAAAGATTATCGAAGCAGAAAACAAATATATTTGAGAACTTAACTCTACACTTGACCAAATAGCCCTAACAGACATCTACAGAACTCTTTAGTCCAAAACAACAGAATATACATTATTCTCATCTGCACATGGCATATATTCTAAAATTGAGCAGACAGTTGGCAATAAAACAATTCTCAGCAAATTCAACAAAAAGCTGAAATCATACCAACCATACTCCCTGAGCACAGCACAATAAAAATAGAAATCAATAATAAGAAGATTGCGCAAAACCATACAATTGCATGAAAATTAAGCAACTTGCTCTGGCATGATTTTTAAATAAACAATGAAATTAATGTCTAAGTCAATAAATTATTTAAAACTAATGAGAAAACAGGTATAATATATCCGATTCTCTGGGACACAGATAAAGCAGTGTTAAGGGAAAAAAGCTTACAGTTCTAAATGCCCACATCAAAAACTTATAATGATCTCAAATTAACAACCTAACATCACACTTAGAAGAACTATAAAACAATAGCAAAACAATCCCAAAGCTAGTAGGACAAGAAATAACCAAAATCAGAGTAGAACTGAATGAAATTGATACATGAAAACCCTCCAAAGGATCAACAAATCCAGGTGGTGACTATTTGAAAGAATAAATAAGATCGACAGACCACTAGCTAGACCAATAAAGAAAAAAAGAGAAGATCTAAATAAACACAATCAGAAATGGCAAAGGGGACATAACCACTGATCCTACAGAAATACAAAAATCTCTCATAGACTATTATGAACTCCTCTCTGCACACAAACTAGAAAACCTACAAGAAATGAATAAATTCCTGGAACTATACAACCTCCTGAGATTGAACCAGGGAGACACTGACTCCCTGAACAGACCAATAACAAGTTCTAAAATTGAATCAGTAATAAAAAGCCTACCAACCAAAACAAACAAACAAATAAAAAAAGCCCAGGACCAGAGGGATGGACCGTCAAATTCTACCAAGTATATTAAGAAGTGCTGGTACCATTCCTACTGAAATGATTCCAAAAAAAAATTAAGGAGGAGGGACTCCTCCCTAAGTCATTCTATGAGGCCAACATCATGTTGACACCAAGAAATGGCAGAGACACAACAGAAAAGAAAACTTCAGGCCAATATCTTTGATTAAGATAGATAGAATAATCCTCAACAAAACACCAGCAAACTGAATCCAGTAGGACATCAGAAAGCTAATCCACCAAGATCAAGTAGGTTTCATTTCTGGGATGCAAGTTTGGCTCAACATAAAAAAAAATCAGTACAAGTGATTCATCACATAAACAGAACTAGGAACAAAAATCTCATGATCATTTCAATACATGCAGAAAAGTCCTTCTATAACATTCAATATCCCTTCATGTGAAAAATTCTCAACAAACTAGGCAGTGAAGGAACATACTTTAAAATAGTAACAGCCATCTATGACAAACCCACAGCCTACATTATGCTGAATGAGTGAAGTTGGAAGCATTTCCCTTGAGAATCAGAGCAAGACAAGGATGCTTACTCTTCCCACTCATACTCGACACACTACTAGAAACCCTAAACAGAACAACCAGGCAAGAGAAAAAAATAAGTGAAAGGCATCCAAAGCAGAAGACAGGAAGTCAAAACTATCTCTGTTTGCAGAAAATAAGATTCCATACCTAGAAAACCCCATAGTATCTGCCCCAAAGCACCTTCAGGTGATAAACAACTTCAGCAAAGTTTCAGGATACAAAATCAATGCACAAAAATTATTAGCATTTCTATACACCAACAGTGTCCAAACTGAGAGTCAAATCAAGATGCAATCTTATTTACAATAGCCACAATAGAAATAAAATACCCAGGAATACACTAACCAGGGAGGTGAAAAATCTCTACATTGAGAATGCCAAAACGTTGCTTAAAAAAATAAGAATTGACACAAATAAATGAAAAAGCATTCCATGTTCATGAATGGAAGAATAAGTATTGTTAAAATGGCCATACTGCCCAAAGCAATTTACTGATTTAATACTATTCCTATCAAACTGCCAATGACATTCTTTACAGAATTAGAAAACAAAAAACTATTTTAAAATTTATATGGAACCACAAAAGAGCTTGAATAGCCAAAGCAAACCTAAGCAAAATGAACAAAGCTGGAGGCATCACATTACCTGACTTCAGACTATACTTCAAGCCTACAGTAACCAAAACAGCATAGTACTGGTACAAAAATAGGCACATAGACCAATGGAACAGACTAAAGAACCATAAATAAAGCCACACACCAACAACCATCTGATTTTCAACAAAGTCAACAACAACAAAAAAAGCAATGCAGGAAGCACTCTCTATTCAATAAATGGTGCTGAAATAACTGGCTAGCCATATAAAGAAGATTAAAATTGGACCCCTTCTTTACACCACATACAAAACAACTCAAAATGAATTAAAGATTTAAATGTAAAACCTAAGACAATAGAAACCCTGGAAGGCAACCTAGGAAATACCATTCTGGACATTGGCCCCAGCAAAGATTCTGTGGCAAAGTCATCAAAAGCAATTGCAACAAAAACAAAAATTGACAAATGGGACCTAATTAAACTAAAGAGCTTCTGTATAATAAAAGAAACTATAAAGAGAGTAAACAGAAATCCTACAGAATGGGAGAATATTTTTGCAAATTGTGCCTCTGACAAAGTTCTAACATCCAAAATATGTAAGAGAACTTAAAGTAACAAGCACAAAACAAACAGCCCCATTAAAAAGTGGGCAAAGGACATGAACAGATACTTTTCGAAAGAATACATACATGTGGACAACAAGAATATGAAAAAATATTCAACATCACTAATCATGAGAGAAATGCAAATCAAAACCACAAAGAGACGCCATATCACACCAGTCAGAATGGCTATTATTTTTAAAAAGTAAAAAAAAAAACAAAACTAACAGATGCTGGTGAGTTTGCTGAGGAAAGGGAACTCTTATACACTGTTAGTAGGAATGCAAATTAGTTCAGCCATTGTGGAAAGCAGTTTGACAATTTCTCAGAGAACTTAATTTAGTTCTGTTGAACTATCGTTTGACCCAGCAATCCCATTATTAGGTATATACCCGAAGAAATATGAATCATTCTACCATAAAGACACATGCACACGTAAGTTCATTGTAGCACTATTCACAACAGAAAAGACATAGAATCATTGTAAATGTCCATCAGTGGTAGGCTGGATTAAAAAAATATGCTGTATATGTAGCAGGAATACTACACAGCCATAAAAATAATGAGGTCGGCCAGGTGCGGTGGCTCACGCCTGCAATCCCAGCACTTTGGGAGGCCAAGGCGGGCAGATCACCAGGTCGGGAGTTTGACACCAGCCTGACCAATATGGAGAATCCCCGTCTCTACTAAAAATACAAAAAAATTAGCCATGCATGGTGATGCATGCCTACAATCCCAGCTACTCGGGAGGCTGACGTAGGAGAATCGCTTGAACCCGGGAGGCAGAGGTTGTGGTGAGCCAAGATCACACCATCGTACTCCAGCCTGGGCAGCAAGAGTGAAACTCCATCTCAAAAATAAATAAAAAAATTAATTAATTAATTAATTAATTAAGAAAATCATGTCCTTTGCAGCAACAGAGATGGAGCTTGAAGTCATTATCCTTAGAGAACTAATGCAGGAACAGAAAACCAAATACTGCATGTTCTCACTTATAAGTGGGAGCTAAATATTAACCACACATGGATACAAAGAAGGAAACAACAGACATCAGGTACTACTTGACAGCAGAGGGTAGGTACTATGCATATTACCTAGGTGACAAAATTATCTGTACACCAAACCCCTGTGACGTGCAATCTTACCTATATAATAAACTTGCACATCTACCCTTGAACCTAAAATAAAAGCTTAAAAATATTCTTAACAAAATTTAGCTAACTTAATTTGACTATATATAAAAAGGATAACATATAATGAACAAGTGAAATGCAAGGTTGGAGTAACATTTGAAAACTCAGTCAATACAATCCACCATATTAACAATATAAAGGAGAAAAAATGATTATTTTAGTTAGGTGCAGAGAAAGAATTTCACAAAATTCAACTTTTATTTATCTGAAAAAGCCTCAATTGTTTGAGCCCAGGAGGTTGAAAATGTGGTGAGCCATGGGAATACCATTGTTCTCCAGCCTGGGCAACAGAGCAAGACCCTGTCTCTAAAATTTTTTTTTTTCTTTTAAAAAAGAAGAAGGTTAAGCAAACAAACAAACAAAAAACACCTGGGTTTTGTTTGTTTTGATTTTGTAAGACATAATGATTGGAAATAAAGAAAGTAACATTGTCCTATTTGTAAATGATATAATGGTTTATGTAGAAAATCCCAAGGAAACTATAAACAAATTTCTAGAACAAACAAATTTAGCAATATCACGGGGTTCAAAATTAATATAAAAATCAATAGTATAATTATAAATTAGGGACAGACAATTGGGAAATCATTGACTTTAAAAATATCATTTATAATCGTTCCCTTACCCCCAAAAATGTATACTAAGGATTAAATATATAAAAGATGTCTGGCTGGGAGTGGTGGCTCATGTCTGCAATCCCAGCACTTTGGGAGGCCTATGCGGGTGAATCACTTGAGGTCAGGAGTTTAAGACCAGCCTGACCAACATGGTGAAACCCCATCTCTACTAAAAATACAAAATTAGCCAGGCATGATGGTGCATGCCTGTAATCCCAGCCACTTGGGAGGTTGAGGCAGAAGAATCACTTGAACCTGGGAGATGGAGGTTGTAGTGAGCCGATAAAGCACCATTACATTCCAGCCTGGGTGACAGAGGGAGACTCTGTCTAAAAAAAAAAAAAAAAAAAGGTTTCCAAACTTTTTTCTACATGGAAACTACAAAGAATTTCTTGGAGAAATTAAAGGAGATCCAAATGATGAAGAGATACACCACGTTCATTAATTAAAAGACTCAATATTTTTAAGATGGTAATTTTACTCAGATTTACCTTTGGAGTCAACACAATCCTAATCAAAATCCCAGCAGATTTTTTTAACATAAATTGATGAGTCAATTCTAAAATTTATGTGGCAATGTAATGACTCTGGAAGAGTGAAAAGAAGAACCATGTTGAAGTATTTACCTAACCTGATTTCAAAAGTGCTTATAAAGTTAACAGTCATCTGCACCCATTAACTCTGCAGCACACCAGCATGGCACATGTATATATATGTAACTAACCTGCACATTGTGCACATGTACCCTAAAACTTAAAGTATAATAATAATAAAAAAAGAGAAAAAAATAAAGGAAAGAATAAACTGAAAAAAAAAATAAAGTTAACAGTAATCTGAAAGCACAGGCAATAAAAGCAAAAATAAATAACAGTGTCTACATCAAACTCAAAAGTTTCTCTGCAGCAAAGGAAATGACAAAATGAAAAAGCAACCTTCAGAATGGGAAAAAAGGTTGTAAACCCTATATACAATAAGGGACTAACATCCCAAATATGTAGAGAATCTCATACAACTCAATTGCAAATAATAATAACCCTCCTAAAAAGTGAACAAAAAACTTGAATAGAGAGTTTTCCAAAAAGGGCATATAAATGGTCAACAGGTATATGAACAGGTGCTCAATATCACCAATCATCTGGGAAATGCAAATCCAAACCATAATGTGATATCACCTCACACGTGTTAGGATGGCTACAGTTAAAAAATCGAAAGATAAGATGTGTTCGTAAAGATTTGGAGAAAAGTGTACCCTTTTTCATTGTCGTTGGGAATGTAAATTGGTACAGTCAAAGCAGTACGGAGGGTCCTCACAAAATGAAAAATCATATGATCTGGCAATCCCACTTCTGAGTATATATCCAAAGGAAATAAAATTACTGTTTGGAAAAGAAGTCTACATTCCCATGTTTATTGCAGCATTATTCACAATAGCCAAGATATTAAAATAACATAAGGGCCAGGCGCAGTGGCTCACACCTGTAATCCCAGCACTTTGGGAGGCCAAGGTGAGCGGATCACCTGAGGTCAGGAGTTTGAGACCAGCCTGGCCAACATGGAAAAACCCCGTCTCTACTACAAATACAAAAATTAGGTGGGCGCCTGTAATCCCAGCGACTCTAGAGGCTGAGGCAGGAGAATCACTTGAACCTAGGAGGTGGAGGTTGCAGTGAGCCGAGATCATGCCATTGCACTCCAGCCTAGGCGAGAAGAGCGAAATTCTGTCTCATAAAACAAAACAAAACAAAACAAACTAAAAAAGAACAAGTGTCTGTTGACAGATGAATGAATTTTTTAAAATGTGGTTGGTTATATATGTGTATCTATAATATATATATAAAATATACACACTCATATATGCTATGGTATATATACAGCATATGTGTGTGGTGTGTGTGTGTGTGTGTATATATATATATATACATATACACGGTTTTTAATATCATAATAAAAGATTATTCAGCCTTAGTAAAAGAAGGAAATTCTGCCATCTGCAACATGGGTGACTCTTGAGGACAATATGCTAAGTGAAATACACAGAAAGACAAACACTAAATAATCTCACTTATATGTTGAATCTAAAAACAAGTCAAACTCTGGGTAACAAAGAATAGAATAGTGGTTACTATGGGCTGAGGGTGGGGGGAAAGGGGGAGAATTTGGTCAAGGGTGCAAACTTTCAATTATAAGATGAGTAATTACTGGAGACCTAATGAACAATATGGTGGCTATCATTGTTTATAATGTATTGCTACTTGAAATTTGCTAAGAGGGTAGATTTCAAATGGTCTTATATTGAACCTGTGGGTGTAGAAATATATCAGAACCTAACAAATTGCCCACTTTAAATATGTATAATTTATTACAATCAATTATACCTCAATAGAGTTGTTCATATGAATCCAGAACATCACTACACACACACACACATATACACACACAAAAGATAACTGTGAGGTGATGAACATGTTAGTCGACTGTGGTAATCACTGTACAATATATACATATGTCAAAACATCACCTGTACATTCTAAATATGTACAATTTTTATTTGTCAAGCATACTTCAATAAAGTTGGGGGAAAAGTTAATAATCATCAAGACAGTTTGATATAGGCAAAAGATAGATATCAATGAAATAAAATAAACAGTCCAGAAATGGACCCACAAAATATTTGATTTTCCACAAAGATGACAAAGAAATTCAATAGAAAATGAAATCATCTTTTCAACAAATGGTGATGGAACAACTGGATATCTATATAAAAACAAGTTAACATTTATTCCATACCATGTTCAAAAATTAACTTGAAAAGTTATAATCCTAAATGTAAAATCTAAAACCATTGAACTTTTATATTAAAACATATTTAATAAACCATGTGATATCAGGATAGTTAAAAGTATTGTAGAACACAAAAAGCATGAAGCATAAAATAAATAATTGCTAGGTTGAATTTCATCAAAATTAGATACTTTTACTTTTCATAAGATTCATTAAGAGAAAGAAAATGCAAGCCCCACATTGAAAGAAAATATTTGAGACACATATCTCAAAGAACTTACAGTTAGAGTGTGTAAAAAAGTCTTAAACTCAGTAAGTAGAAGGTGAAAAACAAATTAAAAATAGAGAAAGATTTGAACAGACAATTTTTAAAAGAAGATATACACATGACCATTACATGCATAAGAATTTGTTCAATATCATCATTCATCAGAGAAATGCAAATTAAAACTGCAATTAAATTTCACTGCATATTGGATTGCCTAGGATGTGGAGCAACTGAAATTCTCAAATACTGCTATTGGAAATGTAAAATTGCTGCAATTATTTTGCCAACATGGTTTGGCAGTTTCTTAAAAAGTAAAATGTATATCACTCATACAATCCAGCCATTTCACCTTTAGACATTTTACCCAAGGGAAATGAAAACATGCGTATACATAAAGCCTTGTACGTGAATGTTCATAACAGCTTTATCTATAACAGCTTAAAATGGAAGCAATTTACATTTCCATCAATAGGTGAAGGAATAAACAGATTATAATATACCCGCACATGTACTACTACTCAGCTATAAAAAGGAACAAGTTATTGATACATAGAAAAACATGGATGAATATCAAAATCATTATGTTGAGTTGCAAAAGCCAGGCAAAAATTAACACATGTAAGGTGAGTTCATTGATATATAATTATAAAAATATAAATCAGTCTATAAACAAAAGTGAGATCAGTGGTTGCCTAAGGATGGAGGTGAAGCAAGGAAGATGTTACAAAAGGGCATGAGGGGACCTTTGTGGGTGACAGAAATGTTAGGTATCTTGATTGTAGTGATGTCTTTATGGATGTAGAAATACATCAGAGCCTAACAAATTGTCCACTTTAAATATGTATAATTTATTACAATCAATTATATGTCAATAAAGTTGTTCATATGAATCCAGAAGCAATATTGTTTTTCTATATTTCATAATTTTTTGCTGAAGTTAAAATATGCTCTTACCATGTTCTGAATAAGTTCCACACACTCAAGTAATAATTTCTGCAGAAGCCCACTGAAATGTCTTAGCTTTATTTCCATTTTAAAAAATCAAATATGTAACTTATAAAATTTTAAAAATTCAAGTCAAATTTAAATTACCAAACATAATTCTTTATAGTTGGACTTTTGAAGAAAATAATAATAATCTGTATCTCTGTCCCTAATTTTTAAAACTTATTTTAACAACCTTGGCCACCCACCATCTCATAGACATTGCTGAGTATATTTTTCATAATTTACCTAAAAATATAAAGTGGCATCAACCCCTACCTCCCTCAACTTCTGGGCTACAGACCTCAAAACCTTAGATGGTTTTTCTGCTACTGTGGAGTGTTATTTTGTTCTTATAAGGGATCTTTTTCTGCTTATCCTCTGATCCATCAAGAGCCAAGTAAGAACACCAGCCAGCAAAAAACACAGAAAGAGGATAAAGAATTATGAAGACATTCAGAAATTTATTTAGGGAGAGCTGGGAAATGTCAAAGAACGCTAAATCCTAGGTATTTTTGACCTGTGCTTTTGAGGTGTTATGGTGTTTTCTTTAGTACACACTGGAGACCCTGATAGTATTACACATATACATCTGCCACAACCAGTAGCTTTAAAAGCTTCTCTAGGCCTGGATTGCTGCTCTTTTTTCCTTGTTTACTCTATGGCTTTTCATAAATAAATATCCATTTTTCTTATTATAAAGATATGCATATAAATATACATATAATGAAAAATAAGATGATACAGAAATGTCCAGTGCAGAATATTTTAAATCCCCTGTAATTTCATGAATAATTATCTGTTATTTACCACCTTTTTTTTTCTATGCAATATTCTGTTTTTGGGAAACACACACATTTCATCTTACTCAACATTCACAGAATGAAGTAAGACTGCACCTCCTGCTCTTAGTTTGCTTCTTTTCATTTAACCATATGTTTTGGAAATTTATCTGTATCTGGGCATAGACTTATCTTATTTTTTATAAGAGTTGTTTAGTAGTCTATTACATGCATCTAATTTACTTCTTTTTTAACTTTTATTTTAGGTTCAGGTGTACGTGTGCAGGTTTGTTATATAGGTAAATTGCATGTCATGGGGGTTTGATATACAGATTATTTCATCACTATGGTAATAAACATAGTACCGCACAGATAGTTTCTCAGTCCTTACCCTCCTCTCACCCTCTACCCTCAGGTATGCCCTGGTCTCTGTTGTTCCCTTCTTTGTGTCCATATGTACTCGATGTTTAGCTCCCACTTGTAAGAGAGAACATGTGGTATTTGATTTTCTGTTCCTGCTTTAGCTTGCTTAGGATAATGGTCTCCAGCTGTCCAAGTTGCTGCAAAGGACAGGATCTCATTTGTTTTTATGGTTGTGTAGTATTCCACGGTGTATATGTAAAACGTTCTCTTTATCCAGTCTACCACTGATGGGCATTTACAATGATTCCATGTCTTTGCTATTGTGAATAGTGCTGCAGTAAACATACACATGTATGTGTCTTTATGGTAGAATGATTTACATTACTTTGGGTATATACCCAATAATTGGATTGCTGTGTCGAATGGTTGTTCAGTTTTAAGCTATTTCAGAAATGGCCAAACAACTTTCCACAATGGCTGAACTAATTTACATTGCTTAATTTCTTATTAATTAGGTTTATACTCAATTGTGGTCATTGTGATGAGTGCTGGAATGAATATGCTTATGTGTATGTATGTGTATGTGTGTATATATATGTCCAAGGACACAAAGATTATACCTATTTAATAACATATTTTACAAAAATAGAAAATCACACAGGTATGTATGTATCTTTATGTGCTTTTATGACTATTTCTGTGTGAATGTTATATGACTTTCTAAATAAAACATGTTTTATATTTAATAAGTATATTCTAATTGCTTAAAAAATAATTGTACCAATTAACATTTCTACCCACAGTAAAAGAAGTACTCATTTCTCCACATCACTGTCTGGCTGTTTAGATGCATATTTAATAACTGAATAAAGCTAAGCCACTACATCTGTGGCTTTTACACAGAATTTAAAGTAAAGTAAACTCTTCAGATAAAATGTCTTTCGCATGGTGTACTTGAACTCTACAAAATCCACAGGTGGTTATGCTAATGTTCAAAGGACATCACACATGGCCTGAGATGTAAGTGGGTCTCCCCTGTACAATCAGTTCTAGAACACCAAATTACCTTTATCTTCTTCTTGCTTCTTTTTTTTAAAGTGTATTTCACGTCCCAATACATAGAAGAACCACCAAATTCCATATTTCACATAAAAGTACACGAGACCATTAAATCTTGCCTTAAACTTTCATCCTTTCACCTTTTGACACACAAAAAAGAAAGGATTTAAGTAATGTTATTTCATTAGCTTCTCTCCTGGACAAAGATGTCTTTACTGATGGAGCAGAAACGCTTTGCCAGCCCATATTCCATTGTCTTCAGAAACTATTCTGAATGGGAGCCACTGCCATTATGTGAATAAGTCATGCATGATCCCTGGGTATATTATCAGCCCCTTGTGGAACATTTTTACCAATGATGAAATGTTATTGTTGTCACTGTCAGACTTTCAGTCTTTATCAGTCTTCCTCATGACAGCCCTCGTTATTCAGGCAGTCTTGGGACAACTTCAAGGTGAGAACTTTCAACACAAGGTCAAGAGGATCAAATTTCTTTCCTATCCACCACTCAACCATTTTCCTTCCCTTTTATCATGGCTCACAGACCAACCCCTCAGGACTGCAGTGGGAGGAATGCAATGGTAAGCTGATTCTGCTGGGACTCTAGACACATCTAAAGAATTGAAATTTATAGTTTCTCACTGTGTCTTCTTTAGAGACTTTAATTATGTCCTTAAATACTGACACACATTTTTATCCACAGAATTCCTGATGAGGCACTGCTATGTACTAAAAACACTCCTGGGCTTTAGAATTAGAAATTTTTTTTTGTTTTGTTTTCTTTTGTTTTGTTTCAGATTTCAACTAAGTGAATTTTGGTCAGCTACTTAACATCTCTGTGCCATAAGTGTCATCTCCAAAATGGATCAAATGCTACCTGCTCTGTGAAACTGTTCTGAGACTTAAATGTGATAATGTATATAAATACCTTTCTCATTATCTAGAACATTGTAAGAAGCCAGCAAATGTTCACTTTTTGCTTCCACTATATTCTTATAATGCTTTCTGCCAAGTAATGTCTCAACATTTTTATGATTATTTTGACTCAAAAATGGAAAAAGCATAATCTTTACCCAGTTGTATCTGGTAGTTTCCTGAACACTGGAGCTTAAATTTCAGACCTAGTGCTGGGCGTGGTGGCTCATACCTGTAAGCCCAGCACTTTGGGAGGCCGAGACAGGCGGATCACCTGAGGTCAGGAGTTTGAGACCAGCCTTGCCAACATGGTGAAACCCTATCTCTACTAAAAATACAAAAAAAATTAGTCGGGCATGGTGGCACACGCCTGTAATCCCAGCTACTTGGGAGGCTGAGGCAGGAGAATTGCTTGAACCCAGGAGGCAGAGGTTGCAGTGAGGCAGGACTGCACCATTGCACTCTAGCTTGGGTAACAAGAATGAAACTGTCTAAAAAAAAAAAAAAAATTCAGACCTAAGACCTTTGTATAACTGCTCCTTTTCCCTATGTCTCCATTCTTTTTGCGCACCTAATTCTGACTTAAAGCACTTTATGGATTACTCAGTAGCTATGCTGAAAGGTGCCACAGGGTTTAGAGAACTGGCTGGAATACATGCATAAGCATGCCAGGATGTCAGCTCTCCACATTTAGACTGGCAGATTGGACACATATTATGTGTAATTACGCACATATTAGAATGATGATGACAGCCCTTCAGTCTCAGAGGAGCATGGCAGAATTGGTGTGTTCACAAAGACAGTGTGGAAGTGAATGGGAGCAGATCCTCCATGGCAATACATCCTACATGGGAAAACCCAGGGCTCAGGAAAACATTGATTTTCTCTTATAGACAATGTGTTTCACCATTTTCTTTTACTCTTACTCATCAAAGATAAACACATCTATCAAAAACCTGATGGTCCTCAGAAACATATTCTCTGCAAGAAACTTCTGATCAATGATCTGATACATATACCAAAATAAGGCCATATCAGATAAGATATTAAAGTTCAGCACTACATAAATTTATTTAGTAGAAATATATTTTAAGAGCATACTATGATGGAAAAGATTAAGTAATTGAGTCTGAAAACAGTCATTATTAATAATTTCTCAAGATCAGTCTATGTCATATTATATTAATGTCATGCCTGCTATGTATGGACAGTGTGTTTAGTACTTCACATATACTATGTGATTGTGTTCTTTTAGAGGTCCTCTTAAATAGTGACTATTACCAATTATGAAGAAAAGATGAAGGAACTTAGTTTGGTGGGAAATGAGTGATTATCCAATATCACCCAGCTAATAGCCATTAGATTCGAATCCACATCGTCTATCTGATTGCTAATTTTTAAAAAAAGTTTTCTAAAGTAAATGTAAACTTATGATAAAATTAATGTTGCAACAGCTGTTGTGTTATATGAGAAGGCAAAGTAGATGAATTTTCAAAACTGAATTTCACTGAGGTGTGCAGGAAGTTATCGGTCATTCAGGCAACTCCTTCATTCTTAAAAGGCTTCCTTGGTACCTATTGTATACAAAACACCTTGATAGGAATCTCTAAATCAGGGTAAAAAAAATTCCAGATACACAACTACAAACACCCGAAAGAAGGCATAATGAAAATATTCTTTACGTTTAGATATTTTTAGTTTTTCCGTGTGTTGTTTAGTAAAAATATAGTAAAAAATAAACATCTGTTATGGAAAATATTATAACTAATATATTATGATAACTGCATTATAAATTAAGCCATTAAAATTTTGTCATATGGGAACATTTCTTTGGAACTCAACAATCTAGGAGCAGAAGTAAAAATAGTAAAAATAGTATTGACTCACTTCTTCTCTGGGGATAAAAAGTGAATTCTTATCTCATTCAAAGGCATCTGTGTAAATAGTGTACTCTCAATTCCACCACAGAAAAAAGAGTTGAGAGCTATAGTCACCAAAATTTACATGCCAAGCTCTGAAGCCAGACTCTCTGGGGTGGAATCCTGACTCCACTATTAACTAGCTAAGAGACCACGGGCAAGTTATTCAACCTCTCTGGGCCTCAGCGAGGCTGTTGAGAGGATTAAATGATATAATATATTCAAAGTACGTTAGAAGCACTTTAAATTATTAACACAAAGGAAAAACACAATAGAGGTTGGCTTTATTATATTATTAGTAGTAGTATTTCTCTAAATTCTTCTTCCTGCTAGGGTCATACTACCACTCTTAATTCTAAAATACCCCTTCTAGTTCTAATTAAAAAGAGAGACAGAGAGGAGAGGGAGGGAAGGCGAGAGAGAGAGACAGTGAGAGACAGAGAGAGAGAGAGAGAGAAAGAAAGAGAGAGAGAGATCTCAAATGCAGTATCTATTGAAGTATTGAGGTATAGGATTATTGAATAAATAAAACTTAATGAAGGCATATGCTCATTAATTAGGTAGGGTTTTCGAAAAAAAGGCGAATAATATGACTCAGTAGCAGTTATTTCTATAGATCTCTGTAAAAAGTCTCTTATGATAATTGCTAGTTAAAAAGTTGTTAACAACAATAACAAAATATGGGCTAATAATCACAGGAGGCAAATATAAATGTAAATGGCATGGTCTGAATGTCCCCCATAATTCATGTGTCAAAAGTTTATTACTGTTGTGGTGGTATTAAGAGGTAAAGCCTTTTGAGAGATGATTGTCGTGAGGCCTCAGCCCTCATGAAAAGATTAGTGACTTATCAAGGGGCTGGAGGGAAATAGCTTAGACCCCTTTTTGCTCTTCCACCATGTGAGGACACAGCAAGTAGGGCCTTACTAGATATTGAATCTGCCAGCACCTTGATCTGGATTTCTCAGCATCCAGAACTGTGAGGAATAAATTTTTATTGCGAATAGATTACTCAGTCCATGGTATTTTATTACAGCAGCACAAATGGACTAAGACAGTAGGTAAAGATAAAAATCAAACTGGTCAACACAGGTTGAACAACCCTTATTTTAAAAGTTCAAACTTCAAAATAATCCAAAATCTACAGCTTTTGAGCACTGACATGATACTACAAGGTGAACATTCTATACATAAGTACTTAATGCAAACTTTGTTTTATGCACAAAATTATTTAAAATATTGTATAAAATTACCATCAGATTGTATGTATATGGTATATAAGAAACAAATGCATATCATGTTTAGACTTAGGTCCCATCCCCAAGAAATCTCATTATATATATGCAAATATTCCAAAAATTTTACAAAAAGATCTGAATTCTGAAACACATCTGGTCCTAAGCATTGCAGATAAGAAATACTCAACCTATATATATTTGGGTGAAAAAGTTTGATGGGTTTACCCATTTATGTTTGTTGTGCCCCATTTCAACTACTGTTTGTCCTAGAAAATGAGATGAACAATAAAATTTCAGATTTAGGTTTTATAACTTTTTAAATATACACTTAAATGCACGCGCGCGCACACACACACACACACACAGAGTAGCTAATAAATGGCTCCTACTTCACCATGTTCGAATTCCTTTATAAAAAATCTTCAGGCCGGGCGCGGTGGCTCACGCCTGTAATCCCAGCACTTTGGGAGGCCGAGGCGGGCGGATCACGAGGTCAGGAGATCGAGACCATCCTGGCTAACACGGTGAAACCCCGTCTCTACTAAAAATACAAAAAATTAGCCGGGCGAGGTGGCGGGCGCCTGTAGTCCCAGCTACTCGGGAGGCTGAGGCAGGAGAATGGCGTGAACCCCAGGGGGCGGAGCCTGCAGTGAGCCGAGATTGCGCCACTGCACTCCAGCCTGGGCGACAGCGAGACTCCGTCTCAAAAAAAAAAAAAAAAAAAAAAAAAAAAAAAAAAAAAATCTTCAGAAGTATAGTATGGGCCTTTCATGAAGGGTATACCTAAAAGGTACAATCTAGGAAGGATGTTAGACGCTGTCCTGATTAATACTTAGGAAACCTGAACTAACTTTTCTGTAGAATAAAAAGATAAAAAGAGGCTGGCCTTCATCTGAAAGAGGGTTATAAATAAAATCCATATCATCATTTTACTTATGACAAAAATCACAATTTTTTTCTCCTTTAAAATGGCATACCTTATTTTGTCATTTTTAAAAATAAATAAATACAGACCTGGGTAGTTAAAATTGCCAAGGGAATGGAAGTGGGTAGCGATGTGCATGCAGTGTGATGGCAGACCAGAGCTGTAGGAGCTCTTCACACTGCTTCAGTGAGGTTGCTAAGGGATATGAGCCCTAAACCAATAAAGGTTATGGATCAGATAAAAGGGATCTTACCTACATAATTCCCATATAATAAAACAGAAGACACCCTCTGAGGCTTGAAGTAGCTTTAAAAAAGTGCTGTCTTACAAAGGTAATAGTAAACATTTCAGCTTTCTACCCTAGAATACACAGATGGAGAACAGTTTAGGTAAAACTATGAATGACAGATTCATAAAGTGTATTTAGGAGGGAGTTACAGGTATTTAGAATACATCCCTCACACTTTGAAGCAATTATAATTGAAAACAGTAATTATATTCTTCTAAGTGTACCTCTTTATCTCTTTTTAAAACTATAATACAAAATAATCACTGAGATAATAATTCATAGTTTTATCCTCTGTGGAAGTTCTTATAGCATTCCTTGCTTGTTTAGTTATACACCAACTCATTTTTGAATACCTTCTATGCATAAGCTGCTATGCTAAACCTGAACTAGACAAATATCTGTTCTCTAGAACTATATATTTTAGTGAAGGTAAGAAACAGAAAGACAAGTTACAAAGTGACAAGTATCAGAACAAAAGGGATGTCAAATATGGTATAGAAATATAGAAAAAAATTTTTGCTTTATTCATGAGTTTAGAAGTAGACTAGATGTCCACCAAGTAAATGTATAATCAAACTGTCACTAATGAGTCTGAAACATGGAAAGAAGAATTTAGGAGTGTCTTTGAGTAATAGCAAGAGAATTGGAGGAGTGTTGGGCCAAGACTTTGTCAGTATTATTACTCAACATGAGAACAAGAATAAAATAACTCAGAGTTACTTTAACAGGATTCCATGGAGAACCTATTTTAAGGCTGTAATTTAATTCAGGTGTAAATTACTAGACTATATTTTAATTACAGGAGTAAATGTCATCCATATTCATGACTAATGAGTAGGAGTAAATGAATGATATAGTACAACATTAGCATTCCATAAGTCCAGGCTGTGACAGTATCTCCCTATTTAAAAATCAACTATAAACCAAGGGAACTATGAAAAACACAGCACTCTAAAGAGATTTCACAGAATTTTTTCTTCAGCATTTTTGCTAATCTTTTTTTTTTAGTATGGTGTTTTCTGCAATGTCTATTGTTCAAACTTCCTTCCAAGTAGATGTAACCTTCTAATAAGCCTTTAAATCTCAAAATAGAGTGTGCTTGATACATTTGAAAACAGAAAATTTAAAAATTCTTTTTTTAAAATATTTTGATAACTTCTTTGATACAAGACACCCGAATTTGTAAGACCAAATCCACGACTCTGAAGAGGAATGAAGAGACTGAGGAAATTAGAGAAGTCTTAAATTTTATTCAGGATGTTTTACTATTAAAAAATGGCTTTGTAAACAATGTTTACCATATGTTGTTAAATATTAATAGAAGCATGAGAAGTTATATATACATTGGTACAGGGCTGATTTTTCAACAAGCACACCAGTAAGTGCTAGTGGCTTTTAATATATAGTGAAATTTCTGTACAGGTGAGCAAATAACCACTGTCCTGAGGTTCTCAAATGCCATATCCCTTAAGGACCACTGGAGCCTAGACCAGGACCCCTAGGCATGCATCCCAGGGAATCATACTGTGTTACTTCTTAACCTCTCAACCACCAGCAAGCCAGCTGTTGATGTTAGCAACAGCTCTCCTGGAGGTGGCTAATGAATGTCCTAGTGGACATGTGTTTGATACTCAGCTGCCCACTTCTGAAATACCTGGGGTCTGGGGTTAGGCGCCGTGGCTCACGCTTGTAATTCCAGCACTTTGGGAGGCCAAGGCAGGCGGATCACTTGAGGTCAGGAGTTCGAGACCAGCCTGGCCAACAGGGGGAAACCCCATCTCTATTAAAATACAAAAATTAGTGGGGCGTGGTGGTGCACATCTGTAATCCCAGCTACTCAGGAGGCTGAGGCAGGAGAATCACTTGAATCCAGGAAGCAGAGGTTGCAGCGAGCTGAGATTGCACCAGCCTGGGCAACAAAGCAAGACTCCGTCTCTAAATAAATAAATAAGAAATATTTGGCACCTGGAAAAGCCAAGAAAAAAAAAAGAAGAAGAAATAATGGGAGCTGCCACTGACACAAATCAGAGCCTAGTATTTTAGGCTCTGATGGAATGGACAACAATCTAAAGATAGGAAGAAGGCTGAAGGGGACAGATGGAACATGTGTGCATCTATTCCACTAGAGACAAGTGGAAGGCTCATGTGGAACTATCCGTTTTTCCATCCTTTTGAATGTAATATCAATTTGATGGGACAGTTTACCTCTATTTAATAAAACCTTAAGATAAATCATCAAATGCTTGATGGTCATGGGCATTAACATTAATTTTATTTATAACCTTACAGCCAGTCTTATATAAAATATGCTTTATAGGTACCTGTTTTAAAATACATTCACTTGAGTATTATAAATTCAATCAATACTCCCATATTTTGGGTAAGGTAACTGAGGCATAGAGAATTAATTAAAATTTAAGTAGCAGAGAAAGAATTATAGCCCAAGAAGCCTAACAAAAGATCTGTTTTTATCGTCTTACTGTACTACTTCTTGCTTGGAATAAAAACGCACTTTCCATCAATTCAAATATGTCTTTCCAATAAAAGGTATTTGCGAATGAGTCAATAATCAAGGTATTTACTATATTTTTAAAATATCAGGAAATATGTTAAGGGCTAGAATACTTTTATTATCCTATCTAGTTGAGCACAAGCTGAAAACCGATTAAGTGCTACTGACAATATAATAGAAGAGAAACCCTCTAATTGGGACTGCAATCATCCAATGACTATCACTTTAACAGGAACATTACTGGGAGAATTTGATAGGGTTTGCTATGTCAAATCATGATGAAGATTGGAGCGTCATTTCCTTGTTGGCAGAAGCATAAAATAAAAGGCTACATGTGAGAGAGCAGAGGACAGCAGTTATCTCTAAAAATCCACTTATTTGGAAATTTTTAAGAATGAGTTAATGAAAAATTTATACCATGGCTTGTGTTGCTTGGTAAGCAGATTTGTAACATATACCATTGAATATATTTAGAAAATATGCACGGTGGCTCACGCCTGTAATCCCAGCACTTTGGGAGGCCGAGGTGGGCGGATCACGAGGGGAGATCGAGACCATCCTGGCTAACACGGTGAAACCCCACCTCTACTAAAAACACAAAAAATTAGCTGGGTGTGGTGGCATGTGCCTGTAGTCCCAGCTACTCGGGAGGTTGAGGCAGGAGAATGGCGTGAACCTGGGAGGCGGAGCTTGAAGTGAGCCGAGATTGTGCCACTGCACTGCAGCCTGGACGACAGAGCGAGACTCCGTCTCAAAAAAAAAAAAAAAAAGAAAAAAAAAAGAAAATACGGTGGAATTTAAATTTTTGGGATTGATGTATTGATTTATTTATTAATTTATATTTTCATACTGATTGTTAAATAGTATTAATAGCACCACTGCATATATGCATAGAAAAAGGTGAGAAACTATACATAAAAATGTTAAGATTGGTTATATCTGGGTGTTGAGATAGATATATATTTTATACATACATCAGTGGACATGTATTTAGTGTTAACAGAAAAAATATATACAAGGCATATTATAAAAATATGGCTTCTCTCTAGCCTATCCTTTTATTTCTTTAGTAACTGAAAACATAGATTAATGCTTTGAAGTTAATTTAAACTTATTCTTAAATAGTTCATAGCCTGAATGGTAATTTCTCTTGAGTTTTCTGCAGGTTCCTCAGCCCACTATTTTGACCACCTTCTTCAACCCCATATTGACCCCAGAGGTCTTAGTCTCACCTGGAATTCTAACACAAACATGGAACAATTGAGTCGACTTTTTCTAAACACTTTCATTGTCCTGTTTCCTCTTTTTCCCTAGCAATCCTTATTTTCCCCAAGCTACCCCTACACACGCACCAATCAAGTAAACAAAGAAATAAAGAAAGGAGTGCTGTTTTAAGAATGCTTCTCACCTTAGTGAGCAGAATATTCTACAATGTGATAAGTCATGAAAGATAAATTCGCCATTTTGGGAAGAGGCTTTTTTCAGAAAGTTACCACAAAAGGGGTGACCTTGGATTTTTGATATCTGATTGCATGTTCTCATTCTCTCCAATTAGAATCATAAGATATTCAAATGGTCTGAATTGTCATTTCTGCTTTCCTTAGAAAATGGTGAACTGGCCTGAGAAGACAGGAGTGGAGAGTCAAGGTAATGTATTATCTCTCCACTCCACCTTAGCAGAGCCTTGCTCTTGGTTAAAGGTCTCTGCTTATTCCTCATGGAAAAAAATCTTGTTGCAGTCTCAGTCAGCTCAGAATACAAGAATGCAGGTAATTAAATAGCTAACAGTTACATAGCATTCACTATGTGTCAGGCACTGCCTTAAGTACTATATAGTTATTTACTCATTTACTCTTCACAACAAATCCATGACATGACGACTATCACTCTTCCCACTTGGGTAACTTGCCCAAGACCATACACTAGTATACGCGTGGCATGACTGGGATTAAAACCTGAGTAGTCTGGTCCCAGTCTTTAACCACTATGCTATACTGAAGTAGGCCTGGAGAGGGAGATCCAGTAGCTCCAACTTGAACTCCCTGGATGGTACTTTCATTGCTGAGTTGTTTCCAGAATCCTCTAGCTAAGGGAATTGCCATAAATCACAGTATTAAGTCTCAGTTAATTGCTATTTTCTGTGAACCAAAGTCACACTCTCTTACCAATGTTGAGAAACAAATTTATCAATATTGAGAAATTCCTTAAGAATTCAGCAACCAATCTTTCCCCCACCTTTTCAGCATCTCTAAAATGGGACTATTAAGAAAAACTTCTTAAGAATGTTTGAAATTCACTAAGATCTTGAATACATTAAAAACAAATAGCAGAATGGCTCCCATATAGTAGGCGTCCATAAATGGTTATGTGTCATACAAAAACACAACAGAATATAGATGATGGCACAAAGTTAAGCATTTAGAAACTAAAGAATATAAGTTTCACACATCTAAAGAAAGGGAGTAGAGAACTAGCCATTTGAAAGCTAGAGAAATAATTGTTAACTAGGATTACAACTACAGAGCAGCTATCTTGAAGTGAGGCTGCTAACCACACCCCTGTATTATCTGTCTCTTCTGTATTGTTTATAGCCAAGGATTACATTTTCCTATTGATCCTTTTTAGGTTACCATGACATCAAAATGCCATTTTCAATCTAAGTTTGAAAATGCCATTTTCAAACAAGGGTGAGTATCTCAACTCACCCTTGTTAAAGCTTACACCTCTCATATTAGTCCAGAGCCATTTTCAGAGAGATTTCTTATGCTGAATCAACAAGCTGAATATTTTTAAATTATACCTTATTCACACTTATATAGAACCGCCCATAAAAGTGTCCACATACATTACTACTAGCAATTGTATTTTACTTTGACAATTCTAAATGGTTTACATTTGTATATTCATTCACTTTACATGTATCAGTGTTAATATATATAGATGGACATATTTTCTACTTCTTAATTAATTTTATTGACTACTATTCTCAAATTTCTAATTTGTTTTTCTTCCCTTCAAATACCTTGCACATACATGACACTAGAGTACTGAGCAAAATATATCCAAACATGATTAAAGATAAATAATTATCAGCACAAGCATACTCAAGTTTAGGAGGAACGTATCTGTACCATGTGGGTCTTTAACACCTTAGGAATCTCCTAGAGTATTAGGTGCTCATCTCTTTACTACCAATAAAAATCTACTTGCTTCCTCTAAGGGTTTCTTGGATTTTGCAGAATAGGGAGTTCCTACTCATTCCCCTTTGTGAAAGATGCTGGACTGATAGATTTCCATGATGAATTCTCCCACTTCTGAGTTTTGAGTGATTTCTAACACCACGATATGGAAACGAAGAAAGCAAGTGAGGAGAAATTTTGAAAAAGGGTTACGGAAATAGCTAGGAGTCTTCCTGCTGAGCCATCCCAGAACTAGAGTTTTGAATAATGCATGTTCCATAAATCTAAGTGTCCCACTATGCCACATTTTAGAACAGGGAGAGAAAATAATAGCTACTGTCCACACTTATCACCAATAATAAATTGCAGGGCTCCTGTGTGTGGCAGTGATTAATGCAAAATGCAACCTAAAACACATAACTAAATAAATAGATAGTTTGACTTTCTTGGGGGTTATCTCTCTTCCTCTTTCTTTCTCTTTCTCCCCTCTAAATAGAAAATACATTTTTAAAAAATCTCTAGAACACCTACCCTTTTCTTTCTGAGACAGATAAATGGGCTTTTATTTTTTTCTCAGGCAAGAGCAGGTAAGCGTCTCTCTCGGGCTCTCTCTCTCTCTCTCTCTCTCTCTCTCTCTCTGTGTGTGTGTGTGTGTGTAGGAAAGACAGATAAAGAGAGGGAGACATATACAAAGAGTACTCACTGGCAGGAAGTTGTATTGCAGAATTCACTTGAACTAGTAGGTTATAAAGGGAGAGTGGCAATTGGCAGGGTTACTGTACAGCTTTGGCAATCAAGCACAGGAGTATAACAAGCAAGTTTTTAGAGATTTAATTTGCAAGGAAACATCAGCCTTGATAGCTTTCTATTTGATTATGAAATATTTTATATAAAAGCAACCCCTAAGCCTTTCAGAAATTTAAAACATATTGAAATTTACATGAAAATTAAATATTGATCATGCATTTAGACAATGAAAACACTGTTAAAAAAGTAGAGAATTAAATTCCATCAATAATAACTGTTATCAGTTTTCATAGGACCCTCTGAATGCTGCTGTGTTCCAGATGGAGCCATCATTTATCAAGACTTCAATTTGCAGACATTCCACCATACAGCTCATGTATTAGCTTATTTAATCCTCTCACCAACCCTATGATAGATATTAATATTATTTTCATTCTTCAAGGGAGGAAATAGGCTCAGAGAGACTAAGTAATTTCTTTAAATGCACACATCTGCTTGGTAGCAAAGCTGGCATTGAAATTCATGTTCTGTTAAACACAAAGGCCTATGCTATATCTATTCTGCCATGTACAGGCAGGACTGCCAGATAAAATACAGGGCATTCAGTTAAATTTGAATTTCAGATGAATACGAATTATTTTTAGTATCAGTCATGTCTTAAATATTCCACGGGATATACTCATGCCCCCAAAGTGCTACTATCTGAAATTGAAATTTAACTGGACATCCTTTATTTTTATTTGCTGACTCTGGCATCCTTCACTATATATCTTCTTTGGATCCAGGTTTCTATTCTTGAGAGGAAGTAAAGCAGTGAAAGAGAGGATGAAATGAGGCACCTATCCCACTCAGTGTCAGCATGTTTCTGCAAGGTGTATTATGCTCTTGAGAAGATTATCAGAGTTTGTAAGATAATGCCTGACAGCAGATAAGGTGACCTATTCCATCAAGGACAGCAAAACATATGAAGGTTACACTATGCATTGTGGGGACAACTGAATTGACAGGGTAACCCTGGATCTCAAGCCTGAGACCCAGTGGAGGGAACTGGATGGCCTCTAAGCTCTAACATTTTCAGACACTCTCTACATATAATCAGTCAAGGAAGACATTTGAACCCCAAGATTTGTTTCCTTCCCATCCTGCCCCTTCAGGATGTAGATGATTGTCCTAGCTCCCCACTCACAGGAAGAAAAAAATTTCTTTCTTTCTTTTTGAAACTATATTTCCAAGGTCAACACTCCTGGGCATTTGAGTACAACATCTGGTTACAAAACTAAGACTGCAGTAATGCCCTTGCCACTCCCCCTGACCCAGCACCGTTGCCCATTTCAGCCTGTTTCAGCACCCATGGAGAGGCCCTTTCCTCACTGTTTTCTTCTCCTCCTTTCTGAATTTTACCAGTCAGAACATATTTATCCTCTGCCTCACTTGCCTAGCCTTCGGCCATTTGCTCTCTGCTAGGGAACTGATAAAACTAATGTGAGCTAATGTGTTGATGATCATCAAAGGGCTTATTCCTTCCAGATAACACCTTCTGCCTTAAATGATGTAACACCAAGGCCTAAGTAGGATGGTAGTGGAAATATTTTACATCAGGTAGATGTTTTCTTATCAGCTCTATATTACATCAAATCAATAATGCCCACCCCACTCCACCACATGGAATTGATCAACCAGACTATTTATTTCCTCACTCCATAACAGTGGCCAATTTATTTAAGAGTGGCATGTTAAGAAAACAATGTTTTTCCTTGTCCTTAATTGAAGTGTAGTTAATTGAATAGAAGAAGCCAAATCTATTGTATAGAAGCCTTGGTTAGTAAAATAAATTATTAACAAAAATGCCTCTGCCCAAAATGTAGATCCCTGACTCTTCTTCCTCTCTACCTGGCCCTCTTACTTACGTATTTTTAAAGAACAAACTCAGTTTTATTTATCCTTATGATACTTTTACTTACTCATAACAACTTCCCTCATTTAAATTCCCACAATTTTCCATCATGAAACTGTGGTTAAAATTACCTAGGTGCACATTCTCACTCTATCATTTAATAGGTGTGTGACTTTGAAGAAGTTAATTTAGTCTGTCTGTGTTTCTTATCTGTGAACTAGGATAATGCCGTTGCCTCCTCATAGGGTCTCTCTGAGGATTGAATGAGAATATATAAAAACAGGACCTGGCACACAGCAAACATGGTACACATACTTACTGTTGTTATTAACTTATACATGTGTTTGCACATCTATCTTTCAATTGTTTGAGCTTTCAGAGCAAGAAGTTTATGCAATTCAAGGGTATATTTGGAGCATTAAGTGCTCAATCAATTAGTCACTCAATCAATGCTTGTGGAACAGATATATACCCATATATAGCTCTCTGAACAATATGAGAATAGGCTAGTGTCCTTGCTCTAAGGTTAGAAATGCCAAGTAACTGGCAACAGAGCTAAAAACATATTTTTTTCTGTTAAAGTCTCAAGGTCTATTGAAGAACCACATTTTTCCTTCAGACTCCAAGTACAGAAGATGGTTGTTTAGTTGATTGATTTGAGTATTTATCTATGTTTATGTAGTGTCTGGCCTGAAGTGGCTGATCTTGATTGTGAATCACTTTGTTTCTATATGAAAAATCCTTTTCTGATCAAGAATTGTTTCTTTTTGTATTATCATTCATTCTCAGACAAAACCTTACCTATTCAAAGAAAAAAAAATTGAACGGTTCATATGCATGTGGGTAGATATATTTATATAAATATACAAACTTGAATCTTTTATTATAAAATGTTTAACAGTAAATATTAGGGATAAAATGACTCAAGGGAAGAATTACATGTGTATGAACTCAAAACTAAGTCCCAAGGATACCTTCTTGAGGTATAACTAAAAAGTAGGTCACTTCTGTTTTTCCTGCTCCCTTGCAGCCAGGCTTTATACCCATGGGCATCCAAGGTCTCCATAGTTTTCTTCTTTTTCCCCAAGCCCTTTGCTTGTCAGCTGCTTCAGCCTCCACTGCAATAGTGCAAGATCATTATCTTTTTTGCTCCACTCTTTGAGGCTTTCTTTTTATCAGAGGTCTAATCCACTATTATGAGCTAACTCATGTTTATGTCTGGCACTAATTTAGTCTTCTAAGATAAGGAACACACTAAAGTTTACATAACACCCAATCACATTTCCAACAAAAAATGTCAACAGAATTTCACCCTGAGTTCAGAGGAAAGAAGAGTGAGAAAGGAGATAAAAGGCCTCTTACATTTTCTTAAATTTCATTAAATCACTTTAATTTCAACAAACATATTTGGGGTCTGCATGATGAGAATGCAAAGGTGGCTCCCAGCACTCCAGGAGTTGTTTCCTAGTAGAAGTTGATGGCCCTGCTCTGGTCTATCCAGGAAGTGATTAGACTCTAGCTGTCACCCATCCAACTCAGGGTGGATGACACCATATAGGTGTCTACAGCCTAGGAAGTCACACTTACTCCTAAGCATTCTACTGTACCCATTACTTTCAATATGGAGTGGGGCAGGGATGGCAAGGCCAAGGAGAGGTGCTGAGCAAGATGCTTATAATATAAAATCATGAGATATTTCTTTTATGACTATGAAGTTTGATCCATATCAGTGTTTCCTAAGTTTAACTCTACATTCCAAGGTCAGAAAATGATATAAAACACACTTCAAGTACGTATATAATGCCCTTAAAAAGCCACCCTATGAATTTATGATAAAGACCTAATTTGTACGACCAGTTTGTCAGTGCCATTCACTCCCATTTGAGTCTGTCCTGAACATAGGACAACTTTCTTTGTAGGACGAAGTGATACGTAGTTCCATGTTGTCACCACCACAGAAAAAGATTTGTTCTCTTGTAAAACACGGCTATACATTATACTGCCTTTTCTTCTACAGTGAAGAGGAAGGAAGAATTAACTTACTTCATGGAATTTTTGTGGACTGAGGGTTTGGTAAAATAAAATGCAAGGGGTAACAAATTATAAAAGACTTGTAACAAATTATTTAATCCTGAAAAAAAAAAAAACCAGCAGTGGGTGAGCGAGTATATACATTTATAAGACTTAACAATGAGAAAAAGGGTAAAAATAGAAAAAAATTAAGATAAAAGGAGAATCAAATCAAGTCAAATATCTCTCAGCCTGTTGGCATGTTTCTCAGTGAGCTGACTATGACTAATTTATGCTGGGTCCTGATTATATTTTATACTCCTGATTTAATCTCAGTCTAGGCAAACTTTAACCGTTTTACTTATTATAATTACAGAAACTTAGTGTTTTCTAATCTTTTGCTTCGCAAGCAGAGGAGAAAAATTCCAACATTCCTTTTAATGCCACGCCTTGTTGAGCCATTTCCAGGTAAGTGGGCAAACAACCCAAGAGTTATCAATGGGATTTTCTTCTTTTCAGCAGGAGCCCATTCTTCTTTTCTGGTTCATGTACTCTAATCAAAGACACCACTCAATAGTGCACAGTGTGTGGAGAAGGAGATGGAAGATGCAAGGAGTATGAATGTGGGCACTTTTTAAAAAATTTCACCCAAGAGAAATATACAGTCATTTGTCAGACCAGTGATTTTACACTGTCACATGCTATAACTGCCAAGAAACACATACACACACAGGAAGTACTTCATAGTGAGGTATGTAAAAATATCAGAAGGGGTATAATTGAGTGACTATGGCTAATCACACACATTTTCCAGCATGCAGCATGGCATTTGAATTTTTCTAGTATATCAGCGTTATGTTAAATATATCAAGAGTAAAGGAAGTAGTAGAATATTAGAGGAGAAACAAAGGGAGTGAAAAAAATGGAAAAAAAAAAGAGATAGATTTGAAAATGTATGCCGGGCATGTATATGTGTGTCTATGGTTTTTAAAAGTTTCTACTATAAACAGCACTTGTGAGCAGGGCAGTGTCTGGTGCCAACTGCCCTGGGTATATATTTGCCCTTGTTTTTCATTGACAAGATGCAGACCTATGTAGATGCTATCAATGCTACTAGTAATAGAAGATTAATATGCAATCCAAATGATATATTTTGTTTATACTATTAAAAATATTTGATTTTTAGACTGAAAATGATAGCATTTTTAAAACATTTATTCAGAAAGTCTCTTCTCTGGTGGCCTAATATTTTCACTCTAAATTGGGTAGGTGAAAGGAGAAAAGTCATGCTACTTGTGGTCTATATTCTACTATCGTCATTAGAAAATTCATTGGCCTTTGCATTAACAATCCAATTTATTAAACAACAGTGGGAAATTAGCTAAGTTAATCAGAATCTAGAGCTCTTAAAAACTACTCTTTGCTAATTCTTTTTTTTTTTAAAAAAAGTGTCATATAAAGAATTTTGTTTTCTTTCACAGAAAGCCTCTGGTAGTGGAAGGAAATGGCTTGTAACTGATGACAGGTGGTGTTTACATTTATAATTTTCTTATTTTTTATGTTTTGGAATGGATTCAAAGGAAAGAATTATCAGACAACAGTTGCAGCCCTGGATATCATTTATGGCTATTTTCCTGGACATGTGAGATATACTTTTAGAACAATCATTCTGTACATTAGTGAAAATGAGATAATTCAGGGGCTGAATCCAGGAAGGCAGGAACAATAATGCAATGCTTTGGTCAACAGTCCCTGAAACTTGCCTACTCAGGGTCCTCATCTTCTTAAGTAATGTGACTTTCTTTCTTGATCCTTAGATCATTTCCTAAAATAAAAACTGTAAACCCTCTATATAAAGCTGGCTAATAGGATTTCATATAGAGGAATTAAAAACAAATTTTTTAACACAATAAGTTGGATTTCAGCATTCATGATATTTGTTTTAAGAGGTCTAATGAGGTTTTTTTGTTTGTTTGTTTTTTACCTAGGATGCTACAATCTTCAGAGACTTATGCATTCAGCACTCCTAAACATCTGTTCAGCCTCCAAATGATTAGGTTGTTTGACACTCAAATGCTGTCCCCTGGCAATAAAAATCTGACTATATCCAGTTGACCATATAAGAAAGGAGGATCTTCTGACTCATTTCCCACAAAATCTAAGGTAAATATACACACAGTTGGCACATGCTAATGCTATGGTATCTGCCTGGGACCTTCTTCCAGACTTCCTGTCTTTCCCTTGACTTGTAGTGAAATGATTTAGTTCTCTGAGGACTCTTGACTTTGTTAACGTTAGCATGTTAAAGTTACTGTTAGTCAGCACTAACATTAGTGCTGCCCTGAAATGGATAGAAATCACAGCCCTTAATGCATTCCCCTCTTTAAGAACAGCTCCTTTTCTTCCTTTCCAATGAGGTGAGGATGTCAGGAGGAAGCATTGAAATTGGCTTGTTTTCTTTTTACTCTTCCATTATCTATGAATAAACCTCTCATTGTAGATGATCATTTATCTAAACAGAAACAAATTACTCTAAGGTCAATTTACTAAACAGTTCATTTTTATACTATAATCCACCCATTTAAAATGTAAAATTCAATCATTTTAGTGTATGCATGGATATGAGCAACAGTCACCATAGTGAATTTTAGAATATTTCATCACCACAAAGAAAGATCCTGTACCCTTTAGCTATCCTTTGATTCCTATTCCCTGCCTCCAGCATTAAGCAAACAGTCATCTACTTTCTGCTTCTGTTTATTTGCCTATTCAGTATATTCTATGTGAATGGAATCACAACATATGTGGTCTTTGGTGACTGGCTTCTTTCCCCTAGGTTTATCCATGTTGTAGCATGTATGAATCAGTACTTTGGTCCTTTTTGTGGCTAAATAATATTCTATTATCTAGATATACCACATTTTGCTTATTCATTCATCTGCTTAAGGAAATGTGGGTTGTTTTCATCTTGTAAATATCATGAATAATTATTCTATGCACATTTATGTACAAGTTTTTATTTGAATTCTTGTTTTTAATTATTTTGGGCAAATACTTAGGAGTTGAATTATTGGGTCATATGTAATTCCATGTATAACTTCTAGAAGAAGCATTGCAGTTTTTCACACTGACTGCATCATTGTACATTTCCACAATAAGCTCCATTTTGAAACTAGAAAATTGGTATTTATTCATATTAATGTGGGTAGGTATAAAATGGTGACTTTTATTTTTCCTACCCAAGTATTGGTAAAGAAAGAGTTTCATGAATTCTGGCATCTTCTGTGACAGAGACAATTTTTAGCTTTATATTTAAAGGTTAAGTTACAGGTTGGGGAACTAGTGAAAGGTTTAGGTGTTGCAGGCTATATAATGAAATGAAATGAAATGAAACATAGGGCTGGGGTAGTCATGAATAGGGCATACAGTGATCAGACCAGAGTAATTTACCACCACTATAGCTTGAAATGGTTCTGAAATGGCATAAAGGAAAGAAACATTAGAAAACATTGATTAGAGGAATATTATAACGGGGAGCTTAAACAGAGTATCACAACTTGCTAAACAATATTAAAATAAGTAGAGAGCCCAGATATAAACCAGTATCAGTTTTGTTAACTTAAAGCTATGAATAGCCAAAATGCCCACCCCTAGTACTGATTCATTGTTTTGAATGCTTAACACCTAAACAGTGAATACACTTATTTGGAACGTTTTGTATTAATGAAAATTAGAGTATCTCATTATCAAACATTTTCATCTATCAATGCATCTATGCTTATGCGTCTAAGCATACATTTCTTCCACAACCCCAGCATTTTGCTGGATGATTTGAGTACAAGATACATAGAAATGCTGGGAAGGTTTTAGTTTAGATGATACTCAGGGAGAAATACTTACATAATAATCGAAGGGGGGAAATAGCTGAAAGAATGAATGACAAAGGCATTGGCTGTGAGATTACCCCGTGAAGTTATTACAAGAGTAGGCCTCATAAAAGACAAAGATGAGGGATAGGAGCTTAGGTTTAATGTTTATTGGTGAAGGGAGATGGGCAGGGAATCCAGGCCTAGAGCATACCATGAGTTCAAAAAGGCAAGGGGTAAGGATGAAGTGTTCAGGAGATCACCCATGGAAGCCTCTATAAAAAAGAATGAACACATGTGAATGATTAACACAATGAAGGATTGGGAAAACAGGTAGTTGTTACATAAATTTAGGTCTTAGAAGTCATGTTAAAACATTTCACAAAAAAAGAGGAATCTCCTTAAACATTTTAAGAGAAAGCGAATTATCATCAAAATAGTGTTATATAAATGCCATTTAACTCTGGGGAGCAGGATAGATTTAAGGCCACATAGAAAGTGCGAGAAAAGTGTTTCAGGGCATTGCAAAAATTCAGGATTCTGGTATGAGCACCTCCTTTATGGAGATAGATGTGAAAATAATGGAGCAGGAAGAGAAATAGCAGTTGTTAGTGAATGGATTAAACATAATGGGTGGGAAAAGTGAAGTCAAAATAACTCAAACTCAATAACAATCAATAAAAGCAGTTGTGTTGGTTAATACTGAGTGCCAACATGACTGGATTGAAAGATGCAAAGTATTGATGCTGGGTGTGTCTGTGAGGGTGTTGTCAAAGAAGATTAACATTTGAGTCAGTGGGCTGGGGAAGGCAGATCCACCCTTAATCTGGTGGGCACAATCTAATCGGCTGCCAGCAGATATAAACAGGCAGAAAAATGTGAAAAGCTGAGACTGGCCTAGCCTCCCAGCCTACATCTTCCTCCTGTGCTGGACGCCTCCTGCCCTCAATCACTGGACACCAGGTTCTTCAGTTTTGAGATTTGACTGGGTCTCCTTGCTCCTCAAGTCTGTAGACAGCTTATTGTGGGACCTTGTGATTGTGCAAGTTAGTACTTAGTAAACTCTCATATACATATATATATATACACACACACGCACACATATATATATCTCCATACATATATATCTCCATACATAGATATATATCCATACATATATATATATCTCCATACATATATGTATCTCCATACACATATACATGTATCTCCATACATACATATAGATACATATATCTCCTGTCCCTGTAGTTCTGTCCCTCTAGGGAACCCTGACTAATATAGATTTTGGTACCAGGAGTGGTTCTAAAGGAAGAGAATATTAAGGATGGAGTTATTTCATTGGTTTTGGGGTTTCTGGTGTTGGCCGCTTAATATGATTAGACCCCAAAATGCTAAGGACTCTACATTTAACAGTATGAAGAACTCTAATAGTCCTTGGCATGAACTGTTTAGAGAGTTATGCAAAATAAATGCTTTTGGCACTCCTGATTCACCACTCATGAGAGGCAAGGAGTTTAGTGACTCCGTATATAATGCCTTTGACCGTATGTGGAGAACCAAGGAACATAATGAAGCTGGTTGGTTGCTCCTAAGTTCAGCAGACAAAGTGATGAAGGAAAGTGCTGAACTCAGGGATTATATCTCCTGGCTTCAGAAGCAGATACCGAGCATCAAATCTGTTAAGAGTGCCCTGAGTGAGAGTCTTATCTCCTGTAGAGAAAGAGTTGAAATTGTGGAAAAACAGACACAAGTTCTTATCATGCAAATGGCTGACCTGAAATGAAAGGTGCATGCACAGCCTTGCCAGGTGTCTACCGTTAAAGTGAGGGCATTGATTGGAAAATAATGGGACCCTGCAACTTGGAATGAGGACCTATGGGAGCACCCTGATGAAGCTGGGGATACTGAGTTTGTAAACTCTAACGAAGCTATCTTGCCAGAAGGAACAGCTTCACCATCCCCAGTAGTGGCAACATTCCCTCCCCAACCCATGCTACCATCAGCCTTTCCACCTTTGTCTGAGGAGATAAACCCTGCGCTGCCTGAGGCAACAGTGATGGCCTCCCCTAAGGCAAGTTGCCAGGCAAAATAATGTTGATTCTCATCAGGAGCCACCCCCAAGACCCCTGTTTGCTTCTAGAACTCTAACTAGACTAAAGTCCCAGTGGTCCCCTAGAGGTGAGGTTGAGAGTGTGACCCAGGAGGAGGTGTGTGCTACACTTGAAAAGAACTGCTTGAGTTCTCTAATTTATATAAACAGAAATCTGGAGAACAGACATGGGAATGGATATTAAGGGTATGGGATAATGGTGGAAGAAACACAGAGTTGGATCAGGCTGAATTTTTTGCTTTGGGCCCACTAAGTAGGGACTCTGCATTTAATATTGCAGCTCAGGGATTTAAAAACGTTTCTAATAGTTTATTTGATTGGTTAGCTGAAGTATGTATTAAAAGATGGCCCACTGTGAGCGAGGTGGAAATGCCTGATCTCCCTTGGTTTAATGTAGAGGAAGGGATCCAAAGGCTTAGGGAGATTGGGATGGTGGGGTGGATGGCACTTTAGACCTACTCATCCCAGCTGGGAGGGTCCAGAAGATACACCCTTGACCAATGCCTTGTGAAATAGATTTGTGAGGGCAGCATCTGCATCTTTGAAGAGCCCTGTAACTGCTCTTCTCTGTATGTCAGATCTAATGGTGGGAACCACAGTCACTCAACTTGAAAATTTAAATACAATGGGAATAATTGCATCCCAAGGTGGCACGGGCCAAGTGATGGCACTTAACTGTCAGAAGCAAGATGGTGTAGCTACTGTAGTGGACAGCAGAGGCAAAGCAGCAATCAGATTCTGATTGCTGCTTTGCCTCTGCTATCCATTATAGTATATTTCAGGGACTACTGGGGCTCTGAGCTGATGTTAATTACAGGGGAGCCAAAATGTCATTGTGGTCCTCCAGTTAAAGTAGGGGCTTATGGAGGTCAGGTAATTAATGGAGTTTTAGCTCAGGTCCAACTTACAGTTGGTCCAGTGGGTCCTAGAGCCCAACCTGTGGTCATTTCCCCAGTGCTAGAATGCATAATTGGCATAGACATACTTAGCAGCTGGCAGAACCCTACCCCCCCATTGGCTCCCTGACTGGTAGGATGAGGGCTATTATGGTGGGAAAGGCCAAATAGAAGAAACTAGAGCTGCCTGTACCTAGAAAAAATAGTAAATCAAAATAGTAAATAAAAAATAGTAAATCAAAAACAATATCACATCCCTGCAGGGATTGAGGATTAGTGCCACCATCAAGGACTTGAAAGACACAGGGGTGGTGATTCCCACCACATCCCTGTTCAACTCTCCCATTGGCCTGTGCAGAAGACAGATGGATCTTGGAGAATGACAGTGGATTACTGTAAGCTTAACCAAGTGGTTACCCCAATTGCAGCTGCTGTACCAGATGTGGTTTCATTGCTTAAACAAATTAACACATCTCCTGGTATCTGGTATGCAGCCATTGACTTGGCAAATGCCTTTTTCTCCATTCCTGTCTGTAACACCCACCAGAAGCAATTTGCCTTCATCTGGCAAGCTCAGCAATATACGTTTACTGTCCTACCTCAGGGGTATATCAACTCTCTGGCTTTGTGTCGTTATCTTATTTGGAGAGACCTTGATCACTTTTTGCTTCTGCAAGATAGCACACTGATATGATGACATTAATGACATCATGCTGTTGGATACAGTGAGCAAGAAGTAGCAAACACACTGGACTTACTGGTGAGACATTTGTGTGCCAGAGGATGGGAAATAAATACAACTACAATTCATGGACCTTCTACCCTCAATAAAATTTCTAGGGGTCCAGTGGTGTGGGACCTGTCAAGATATTCCTTCTAAGGTGAATAATAAGTTGCCTCATTTGGCCCATCCTACAACCAAAAAAGAGGTACAATGCCTAGTGGGCCTATTTGGATTTTGGAGGCAACACATTCCTCATTTCGGTGTGTTACTCTGGCCCATTTATTGAGTGAACCAAAAGGCTGCCAGTTTTGAGAGCGGTCCAGAACAGGAGAAGGATCTGCAACAGGTCCAGGCTACTGTGCAAGCTGGTCTGCCACTTGGGCCATATGACCCAGCAGATCCAATGGTGCTTGAGGTGTCAGTGGCAGATAGGAATGCTGTTTGAAGCCTTTGGCAGGTCCCCATAGGTGAATCACAGTGGGGGCATCTAGGATTTTGGGGCAAAGTCCTGCCATTTTCTGAAGATAACTACTCTCCTTTTGAGAGACAGCTCTTGGTCTGTTACTGGGCTTTGGTGGAAACTGAACATTTGACTATGGGTGATCAAGTCATCATGCAACCTGAATTGCCTTTCATGAACTGGGTGCTTTCTGACCCATTTAGCCATAAAGTGGGTCATGCACAGCAGCATTCCATCATCAAATGGAAGTGGTATATATGTGATCAGGCTTGAGCAGGTACTGATAGCACAAGTAAGTTACATGAGGAAGTAGCTCAAATGCCCATGGACTCCACTCCTGCCACCCTGCCTTCTCTTCCCCAACCTGCACTGATGGTCTCATGGGGTGCTCCCTATGATCAGTTGACAGAGGAAGAGAAGACTAGGGCCTGGCTCACAGATGGTTCTGCACGATACGCAGGCACCACTCAAAAGTGAACAGCTGCAGCACTACAGCCGCTTTCTAGGACATCCCTGAAGGACAGCCGTGAAGGGAATTCTTCCCAGTGGGCAGAACTTCTAGAAGTGCACCTGGTTGTGCACTTTGCCTTGAAGGAGAAATGGACAGATGTGCAATTATATTCTGATTCATGGGCTGTAGCCAATGGTTTGGCTGGATGGTCAGGGACTTGAAAGAAGCATAATTGGAAAATTGGTGACAATGAAATTTGGGGAAGAAGTATGTGGATGGATCTCTCTGAGTAGTCAAAAACTGAAAATATTTGTATCCCATGTTAGTGCTCACCAGTGGGTGACCACAGTGGAGGAGGAGTTGAATAATCAACTGGATAGAATGACTCATTCTGTGTACACCACTCAGCCTCTTTCCTCAGCCACCCCTGTCATCGCCCAATGGGCACATGAACAAAGCGGATATGGTGGCAGGAATGGAGGTTGTGCATGGACTCAGCAACATGGACTTCCAGTCACCAAGGCTGACCTGGCTACGGCAACTGCAGAGTGCCAAATATGACAGCAGCAGAGACCAACACTGAGGGCTCGATATAGCACCATTCCTTGGGGTGATCAGCGAGCTACCTAGTGGCAGGCTGATTATATTGGACCTCTTATATCATGGAAAGGGCAGAGGTTTGTCCTCACTGGAATAGACACTTAGTCTGGATATGGGTTTGCCTATCCTGCTTTCAATGCCTCTGCCAAGACTACCATCGTGGACTTGCAGAATGTCTTATCCACCATCATGGTATTCCACACAGCATTGCCTCTGACCAAGGCACTCACTTTACATCTAAAGAGGTGCAGCAGTGGTCTCATGCTCATGGAATTCACTGGTCTTACCATGTTTGCCATCATCCTGAAGCAGCTGGTTTGATATAACAGTGGAATGGCCTTTTGAAGTCACAATCACAACACCAACTAGCTGACAATACTTTGCAGGGCTGGGGCAAAGTTCTCCAGAAGGCCATGTATGCTCTGAATCAGCCTCCAGTATATGACACTGTTTCTCCCATAGCCAGGATTCACAGGTGCAGGAATCAAGGGGTGGAAGTGGAAGTGGCACCACTCACCATCACCCCTAGTGATCCACTAGCAAAATGTTTGCTTCCTTATTCCCACAACATTACATTCTGCTGGCCTAGAGGTCTTAGTTCCAGAGGGAGGAATGCTGCCACCAGGAGACACAACAACAATTCCATTAAACTGGAAGTTAAGATTGCCACCTGGACACTTTGGGCTCCTCCTACCATTAAGTCAACAGGCTAAGAAGGGAGTTACAGTGTTGGCTGGGGTGATTGACCCAAACTATCAAGATGAAATCAGTCTACTACTCTATAACAGCGGTAAGAAGAGAATGAATGGAATATAGGAGTTCCATTAGGGTGTCTCTTAGTATTACCATGCCATGTCATTAAGGTCAATGGAAAACTGCAACAGTCCAATCTAGGCAGGACTACAAATGGTCCAGACCCCTCAGGAATGAAGGCTTGGGTCACTCCCCAACAGCAACAAAAAACATGATCTGCTGAGGTGCTTGCTGAAGGCAAAGGGAATATAGAATGGGTAGTAGAAGAAGGTAGTCATCAATACCGGCTACAACCACGTGACCAGCTGCAGAAACTAGGACTGTAACCATTATGAGTATTTCCTCCTTCTTTTTTAAAAAACATGTTTGTGCATGTATACACTTGTACTAAGAAAATATCTTCATTTTATTTCCTTTTCCTTTATCCTGTGACTAAGATTTATTGACTTCATATCAGCATTGAAGTATTGTTAATTTTAGGTAATAATATTTGGGTTGGGGATTGGTGCATTTCTGGTTGTATGAAGGATGTTGTATTATGTTAGGTGTAATTATGACATTATTTTTGTCTTTATTTGAAGATTATGTATGATCTCAGGAGATGTGTATGGGCTCAGGTTGACAAGTGGTGGACTTGTGGTGGTTAATACTGAATGTCAACTTGATTGGATTAAGAGATACAAATTATTGATCCTGGCTGTGTGTTTGTGAGGGTGTTGCCAAAGAAGATTATCATTTGAGTCAGTGCTGGGGAAAGCAGACCCGCCCTTACTCTGGTGAGCACAATCTAATCAGCTGCCAGAGAATATAAACAGGCAGAAAATTTTGAAAAGGCAAGAGTGGCCTAGACTCCCAGCCTACATCTTTCTCCTGTGGATGCTTTGTGTCCTCAAACATTGGACTCCAAGTTCTTCAGTTTTGAGACTTGAACTGGCTCTCCTTGCTCCTCAAGCATGCAGACAGCCTATTGTGGGACCTTGTGATCAAGTAAATTAATACTATATATATATCTCCTATTAGTTCTGTCCCTCTAGGGAACCCTGACTAATACAGCAGTATTTTGATTATTTTGAAATTGTTGTAGACTAGGTGAAAAGTGATCACAAGTCACCAAAGAAATAACATACTACAAAAGTGTTTCATGAAATAATGGCATAAAAAAAGTTTTCAGAAGTATCTCTCTGTCTGAAAGTATAAGCTCAAAAACTCAAAGGAAGAAGGATAGGGCACAGAATCATTCCAGATTACATTTTTATACAAAAAGTAATTTTTCTTCTAAATCTTGCATTCATAACATGTACATTCCTCTAAGACATAAGCCAAATAATGACCTCAATGTCCTGAAATCCTCAAACAAGCCATATAACATTTCTCTATAGTTCTCATATAGAATAATGTCAATATTCTCCAACAATTTTTTGGTGTTGGAATTTTTCCTTTTCAAATCAGTTTTAGGATTATTCAGAAATATTAGGACATTTTTGGGAGATTGAGATTTTTCCAGAATGGTAAGAGAGCATCTGGGACCCTTCTTCTTTAAACATTGCCAGTGGCTTTAGTGATAAATAGAAGCCCTGTGTTCAAAACCACTCCAACTCTGAGGCTAATGAAAGGACTGTGGTTAAGAAGGAAAAGTCAGCACTGAAGAAAACCCAATGAAATAATTTTTTTTTTAAAAAAAGCTTAGTCATTTTGGAGATGTTTCATACCTTCCCTATGTCACTATATAGATTCTTCTTACATATTCCTCCACAGTAATTCTTTAATATGCCAAGAGAAAGGGTGGTAGGTAGGTTTCAAAGACAGAGAAAAACACAGTATTTAAAAAACTGATTTGGAAATCCGCACAGTAGGAAACACAATTTAGTCAGTGCTCATTTAAAGATGAAGCAGGTACAATCTCATCTTTATTGGAATACCTGACAGGTGGCAGAAGAATGTACTTTTCTCTTTAGCAGCCCCCTAGGAGAATATTTTATTTTCCCTTCCCATAAATAACAGAACTGATTTAAATTGATGCATTAAACATTTCTGCTGCAGAATCCATGGATCCTTACCACTGGTATAGCAGTTAGGATCACTTGAATACTTTAAATTAAGTTTCATAATCCAAGTGTCACTGAATATTTGGAGGGCAATTATAAAATAGCAAAGCTGTTTTTCTCTTTTTTGTTCTTAATTCAGACTAATAAACAGCATAAAATCTGCACAACTCAATTAGTAATGTTGTCAAATTTTCTAATTGATGTGCTTTGAATATTCAAGAAATCAGATAATGCTTGTACTACCTTTATTTTAAATGGTTTTGATAAATTTAGAAGCTAACACTGAATGGTGTATTCAACTGAGCATCTGTTCTAAGTGCATGTCAAATTAACCTGCTAAATTAGCATCTATTGCAACTTTACTTTTTTCCCCCATTCTCTGTTAAACATCTCTATACTAATTTGAAGACTTCACATTCTGTAACAAAACATGCAATTGCAAACATTTTTGTTAAACAGTGTTTAACTCTATTGTGGAAATCTAAAATTGAACGGTTTGTCTGTTTTTGCTTCAGCACCACGGACAGAGATGCAAAGTGTCATTCCTGCCTGTTCAAGATGGCGATAATCACCAAAATACTCCTGTTCTGGTAAGGATTTGGCATAGCGCCAAAATGAAGCAAGCGGTGCTCTGATTTTTCCTCAGTTCTAAAATCTCCATTACCTACTGTATGAAAACAACTTCAAAATGAACCAGGCCATTATAATAACTCTGATATCTGTTTTGGTCCAGCAACAATACGCAAACACAGAATAAAAGTATGAATTTAGAGGGAGTTATTAAGATTCATATTTACTTCCTGCTGGATGATCCTGGAGTGTAGTTCATGTTGACTCAAATAGGCCACCCAAGTCCCATATGGAAAGAGCTTCTCCATCGGTAACACCATCCATCCTGAAGGCAGTCTATCTTTATAGTGGCTGTTAGCATGGGGCATTTCTGGCAGATTAATTTTAGCTCAAAGATAACCATTACCTACAACACTTTTGGAGTTTTCAAGATTCCTCCTAGATATTGAAGGAAATTGGAACCTTATCCTTAACAATTTCTTGTGGGAGAATTTGTTTATTACTTCCAAGAAATAGAAATTATCTCTGCTGAGCTCTAAAGTGAGGTATCATCAATCTTAAGAAAACCAGAATAGAAAACACGGGCATAAGTTCTATTTCAGAATCCCAACAGTGATTGTCATATATATTTAAGGTTACACATAAAAGAACAGGTGAGAAATAGTGTTTCTTTTTTAAATCATTAAACTGCTTTGTATTCTTTAAACATGAGCACTGTATTTGAAATAAAAGGTATTACTGCATTATTACATTTTAAGTTGGTTTTAGTATTTTTATACCAGTGGGAAGTTTTAATTAGAAATCTTAGCTTATTCTATTCAAAAATGAATGAGATAGAGGTAAATGCAAATGAAGCATTAATCTGCTAAAAGTTTTTTTTCTCTTTATATATTTTGTTTTCTTTTTGTCTTCTGCCAAGCAAAAGAGCTCTGTGTATCAGTGCCAGGAGGAGCCTGGTAATGATTAATTGACTGAGCTGTCAAACTAGGACAGTATGTGTATAAGCAGGTGAGTAGTATGAGGGGCACAGGCTATCCCTCTTATGAGAGAAACTTTGTTTGAAAGTCATTTGTAATTAAGAAAGGGTAGGAGGTGGTGGATGAAAAAAGAGACGAGAGAAATGACGAAATGAATGTTCCCATTAAGAAGTTCATTATTAAGGGAAATTTCAAGCTTTCAAATATGCCCTAATCCTTCTCTATGTTAGCATGTTCTCTGTATATTTTAAGAATTATATTTTAGCTAATTAATAGGAAACTTACAATGTTCCAATGGTCAATCTGACAGTTTCCATTAAGTCTCCTCTGGGCCTCAGTTTGCCTTTCATTTTGGAAAATTTACTAAATTTGCTTTATTCTTATTTTTTTTTCTGAAAATGGAAGTAAAACCTACCACAGAGAAGTACTATAAAGAAACATACAATTAACAATTTGACATAAAAACAATATGCAGTCACACTAAGTACCGTTTAAGATTTTATTCTCACATTGAGTGGAGGAGGCCTTCATAACAGATATAGACTATTTCATCAATCAGGTTTCCAAAATCAGGCTTGGAGTTGCTCAATCTTGTTTTAATGGAATTAATACGATAGAATACACAAGGATCTTGCTCTGTTTTTGTTGGGTTGCCAGTTGCTTGAACTTACTGATATAAGACTGTTCATGAAACCATATTACAATATTAAATTTTCTTTCCTTAAAAGTATCCTTGTTAAAATTTGAAATGCCAATATTTTTTCTATTGGCATGATGAAACTACTGAACTTTTCAAAAGCACCATTTTTATTTATTTTTAGGGGCTCCGTTGGGAAAAGAGAATACAAATAAACCTTGTGTCTAATATTTTCTAAATTTATGGTTGTAACTCAGTAGTCTTAACTTTAAGAGGGCCATTCAGTGTTAGATATCTTGAGAGATCATACATGAAACTAACTCTAGTTGCATGGTCTGTGTTCACATAGAAGTTAGTTCACCATGTTCACCCACTAGCAGTGAGAAGACTTATGTTGCTTAAGTGTAATCTTTTCTTTTAAAATATTGATGAGCTTTGAACCCAGAACCTAATCAAATACTTAATCATAGAAAACCTCAAAACAGAAGACATATACTTCATATAATTAATTCAGTTACAAGGATAGTTCATCATTATTTCATTGTATCCTGAACTAACTGTACCAAAATTAATTTTTTCTGTAATAAAGTACCTTTTAAAGAATACAAGTTATATGCAATAATAAATTGGTATACACTCAGAAAATAAAGTGGTTCTATAACTATATGAACATCAAATAATACATTTCTAGTAGCACCTCTATTTGGATATTACTTAACAAGGTCTATGGATCTCATTCTCAAGAATTTTGTGAAATTGAACTATTAGGATAATAGTTACATTATTACACTGCTTCCACTAATGAACCTATATCTTATCTACTCTAATGATGATAATAATTAACATTTATTCAACAGTTATTTATGCCAAGCATTTAAGTTTCATAGCAGCACTCAGAGGTAGGTTTCATTTTCCACATGAGGAAACTGAGGTTAAGAAAAGATACTTTAACTTTCTGATCAGCACAGGAGTTTTGACCTGCTGTGTTTCTAACCTGGGCCAGCTCACCCCTCCTTGGGCAACCTGGTGGTTCCCTGCTCCTGGGAGGTCACCATATTGATGCCAAACTTGGTGCGGACACCTGATCCTGCTAGAGAACTCCTAGGCTCAAGCGATCCTCCCACCTCAGCCTCCCAAGTAGCTGGGACTACAGGCACGTGCCACCATGCCCAGCAATACTTTAATTTTCTAAAGCCATATTAGTTGCTGAATTGGAATTAGAAACCAAATTCACCTAATCCGAAATCACATCCTATACCACCCACCACTACCAACTCTCCCCTCCACCCCCCAACCCAGGCCCTGGACACTTTTCCTATTCTGCTCTTTATGACTTCTGCTTTTAAGCCTTTAGTTTTACGTGAACAAACGTAGTTGGATTTTTTTTGTGGGGTTTATGTCATTCCAACTTTTTATATAGGTAGCAGACATTACTAAAGAGTTTTTTTGCATGTATCTTCCAGAAGACATCCTTCATTTGTAAGATCTTTGTAAGTTCTCATTTTCTGTTCTAATTAATTTTTAGAATGTTTCTCATCAATATAGGATTCATGCTCTTGGTGCTTTTTATTCGATTTCCCATTCAACAAATGAAAAATATTTTTATAAATGATTTAAAAAATCAATAAACAAAGAAAAACAAAACAAAAACATTGGACTGAACAGGCAAAGTGTACTGGAAACTGGGCTGGAAACTTGGGATAGAGAACTTATTAAAGTCCAGTCCATAAAGTAACTAAGTCAAAAGAAGACAGGCATGTAAACAAATAAATTAGAATACAGGTAATAAATACAATGACAGGAACATGGGTATGTAATAGAAATAGTTTTGAGAACTGATTTATTTTTTGGGGGGTGCAGGTAAAGGTGGAGGGACAAAGAATTACAAAAATGACACCTGAGTTGAGTTTTGAAATATGAATAAGATTTTGCCTGGTACGTAGAGGCTTAAGATGGTTATGGGAGGAGAAAGGGATTCTGGGCTGAGGACAAATATATCATGCATGATCCAGCTAGTCGGGGCATAAGTTCAAAGTATAATTTCCCAGGAATAACTCTAAAAAGGCACTTCTCTGCAAAGCCATCATCCAGAAAATGTCAATGCCCCTTTTTACACATCCTTCTTGTCAAGAGGTCAGAATACTGCAGTGGCAATTTAAACACTAGTTACATTTATGCTTTGTAGGTCCATCTTTTGTATATTCTCTGAAGATCTTATTTGATTGTACTATTTATTTTTGTTATTTTATTAACTACATTCCTAGTTCTGCTTATATGAACAGGATCAGATCAATCACTAATACCGTTCTACAGAAAAAAAGGGCACAAGGCACTATTAATGCTGTTATTTCTTTACAATATTTATTCATACGGAAAAAATCCAAAGTAGAGTCTGATTATCCTAGCCATCAAAGATTAAAATAAGGTTGAGAACTACTCTACCGGATTACAGTGCTTGTGGACAAGATATATTAGCAAATATATTTTAGTAATTGTTACACAACCAGTTTTTTTTTAAAATAAATGTTTTACATGTAGTAACTCAATTTAATCTTTACAACAACCTTGAGAGGTGAGTATTATTGTGATTTGCATGTTACAAGTGTATACACTGAGGCACAGAAAGGTTTAGTAACTTGGTCAAGTTTAAACACAGTTTAAAGGGATAGAGTTCAAATTCAGACTCAGACAGTTTTGCTTCAGAGTCCATGCTTCTAAATGCTGACTGTGTTATGTTGTTGATGAACAAAACAAAAGAGAGCCTTGTTTTATTAAGATTATTCAGCAAATTATTACTTAGAATCTACTACTTTTCCAGCCCAACTTTTTCATTGTTCTGAAATAAAACAAAGCAAAAAAAAAAAAAAAAACCAGAAGTCAAAGTTCTTTTGCTAAAGGAACTTATGACTTTTCTTTAAAGATAATATTCCAAACAATTGGAAAGTACAGCAAGATCAATTGCAGAAGTAATAATGAAAAAGCAATAAGCCTTTTTGCTAATAATGAAAATATGACAAAATCATAATTAGTTAACTTCGCTATTTTATTTTAGTATGTCAAGACAATTTTGATTACTCATTGGATGCGGAACCCTAAAAAAGCTAAAAAATATACAATTGAGGGGTTAAAAAATCTAACTGGAGATATTTTTCATACCTATGTGAAAAGAAACAGCAATACAAGGAATGTATCAATAAGGAAGTGAGAGAAGAATTAGTTAAGAAACATTCATCTATGTCTATTATGTATACAATTCTATACCAGGCATAGCAAAATGCAAAACATCTTGTAAGCAAGGTCATTGATAAACATTAGTTTATAATTTAACAGGAAAAAGAAATCACACATTCCTTGAGAAACACTGCCAGGTAACAGAGCAACAAATGAAATCTGGCTGCCAGCAATGTTGATACATAAAGTAAAACTATGTAGAACACTCATAAAGGTATAAAAATCCCCAGAAACACTTCCAGGAAGGTGAGAAGTTTGAACCAGTCATAAGGAAATGAAGCATGCATTGGCAGGGTACCACAGGACAATCTGTGCAAAGTGCTCCAAAACGCCATGAAGAAAATGAGTTAATGGAAGGAGAGGGTGCAAGGCAACTGGACTTGGCGCAATAGAGATAGGCAAAGGGTTAGTGTAACAAATGATGCTACTGATGGTGTGGGCAGTCAAGAGAAAGTCTTGAATTCGGGGCTTGGAGATGAAATGTGACTCATTAGGCATTTAGGAACCACACTAGTAACTTGAGATAGGAGAGGAAAGAAAAGATTGTCTGGAAGTTGCATGTAGGATGAATAAGAGTATGTGTGAAAGATTGATGGCAGGTCAACAACTCAAAGTGGTTGGACACCAAAGCTAAGATGGAAGCTGTGATATTTAGGAATAGAGCTGAGGTTGAGAGATTTAGCAAGGGAATTACCCAAGGGACCGATTAGAAGTTATTAAGGCAACCCTCAATTTTTCATTTGAAATGATTTATTAGAGAAGAAATATTAAGGGACCAAGGAAAAAGACAGCCATTAGAAAAGGAGTTGAAAGACTGTTTGGAAGAGAAGGAAGAGGAGGAGGAGGCTGGGAGAGGAGGAAAAAGAAGGAAGAAAGAGGAGAAGGAGGAGGGTTAAGTGGAAAAGAAAAAGGATTTGGTGTGTGTATGTGTGTGCGCGTGTGTGTTGCAATTAATCTAAAAGAATCATCATGGTCATGATAAATACTGTCGGTTAATCAATTCTACAAAATTTCCTTTTATCTTTCAATTGCCTCAGCAGTAGCTTAATATTTACTCTACACCCACATTATACTGGGTACTGGTAGAAAAATCTGTGTGTTGTTGCTGGCAGTATCCCAGGATGTATGGTGTTCAGGTAGAACCAGTAGGTGTTAATTGATAATTGGGCTTTATGGAACAAGATTACGTTTTTACTGTGCATATTTGCCTCCACAATATCAGAAACATGATGATTTTTCATATAAATTGAGAGGCTTTTTTGAAATATATGTTGCCTGCACTTAGTATTTCTCATGAATATTTCTAATACTCATTCACAATGCATTCAGGTGTTAACTACAGCCTAACAAATGCATAGGTGAATATGAACACACTGTTTGTAAATTGTAGCCTTTGTAGAATGCCTACATTGTTTAAGTCCCTGTAGCATTGAATGTGAAGCAGAGCCCACTCTGCTCTATCCATCTCTTGACAATGCATCCGAGGAAAATAGAAAATGATGGCCTCCCAAATCTGCACATTAGTGAACACAAACTCAGCCATACAGTGACATCTTTCTCCTTAAAAATAATGATGCAGGCTGTCTCCATTACTTAAGAAAGCCCGAGCTCACACTGAAAGGTGTCAAAAAACACTATTATCCCACTTTGCCTGGAGGTGCCTTGACAGCACCTTTCCTGCCATAAGAATGGATTACAGGCAGGGTGGTAATCAGCCAAGAAGTTAGTAAGAATAAGTTCTTTTAAGAGCAGAGTGTGAATCTGTGAACATAATAAAAGGAGTTTACCACCACACCGAATAAGGGAACACTTAGCTCCTTGCTGCCTTAAACTAACCAGGAAGAGCACGACCCCTTGCTACAGGTTAGTGAAGGGCAGCAGGGACTTAATTGTCCTATGATAAAAAACCCGATGAGTGCTCTGCGAAGCCCACTGAGTAACAACTATGTCGAGCTCCAAGGATCTCTGGTGAAAGGTGCCATAGGAAGGCATAGAGACAAACTGATATGGGGAAAAGTGAGAGACAAACAGATGGAAAAATGAAAGGGAAAGAGAGGCATGAGAGGAACTGGATGATGTTTTACACAGGCAACAGAAGGAGAAAACAAGAGTCAAAGACAGAATAGGAGAGACACCAATCTAAATTCAAAGAGTTTAGTTCAACAGATTTAACACAGTCTAATTCAGCAGGATTCTCTGAGATGTCCACCCAATGTGCACAATTCTTTCCAGGATAGCACTAAAGAAATCCCCTAAAGGCCCACAACAGCAAGTGTTCTATTATTCCTCTAAGTTTTCCACCTGCTCACCTAATTTACTCAACAGATTCTAACTGGCTAAAACTGATACCTTAACAAGAAGCAAAACTCAAGGGAGACTTCAGATAAAGGAGAGCCAACATTGTCACACAAGTCAAGTGCATAGAAGGTGTTGTGAAAGGAAGAAAACCCAGATGTGAAAAGAGCCATGATTTGAAATCTTTCTTCTTTTCCTTTTTGAATTAGACTTGTCTGTCTGTAGGAGACCAGTTCATTTCCTTGTCTCTCCATCTGGAAGTATGGCTGCTGCTACCATGGTGGTCTTCAGGGCATTATATTCTTCGGTATGTACTTGTACCTTTATGAGGATACCTACTGATTAAAAACTTACGCTGGAGGAACAGCAAGCAGGCTAGTATACCTGGAAGGAATGGACAAGGGGCAGACTCTGTCCATGTCACTTGTGGTGCTGGATGCCAAAACTATGTGATTTCATTTAACTCTTACAAAAATGCTATGAGAATGGTATTATTAGCCTCATTTTTCATAAGATTGTGCTGAAAGTTCAAAGAAGTTAAGTAACTGTCCAAAGTCCAGGTAAACAGGAGGTTGCAGCCCTGACATTCAAGCCCAGGCATGTGGACCCCAAAGTTAAAATTTCTTTCACTCATTTAATATTACCCCTCATTTTTTGGTAATAAGAAGATGAAATTTTACTAAGTGACATATTATTTAAAGAAATTATAAAAATAGACAAGTAGATAGATTTACCAAGCAGAGTTCATAAAACATAATGTGGACTGGGATCATCAACTTGTTTGGATAAAGATACTCAGTTCACAGATTTTCAGGACTTTTTCCTCATCCAATTTCAACTAGTTTAATTTTTCTGCAGTACATTCTCTGCTTAGGCATACAGGCTAGTCTTACTCTCCAAAGAAATTCTTGTTGTTAATCCATAGTTTAAAGCTAGCATTTATGCCCAGATGGGGAATCCCTCTGAGCTTCTCAATCAAAGGTCCTGCCCATTGACATCTTCTGATTTCTAAATGTTACCCTTGCACTGGGGCTTTTTCTTTAATTTGATTTTTTGTATCTAAAGAGTATCCTAAGGTCTCAGCTCAATTGCATAACAAATTTGACTGGGATTCCTAAAGAATAATACATCCTTTTGAAAATTGGTTATATACAGATTCTCAGATTCACCAGTAATCTACCGCTTCTCATCAACTTCCCTGCTAGCTCCCAACCTACTAGTCAAAGTCACCATCATCTCTTGTATGAATTGTTTCAATAGCTTCTTACCTTTTGTTCTGCTTTCACCATTTCTCCCCTATTGTCTATTTTTCAGAGTGGAGAGTAGCCAGAGCAATTCCTTGAAATTCTAAATGAGATTGGGTCCCCATCATCTACTCAAGGCCTCCTCTGGCTTTCCTTGTCACTCAGAGTAAAATCTAAATTTCTGGTCATGGTTTAGAAGGCCTTACAGAGTCTGCCCCTTGTCCATTCCTTCCAGGTATACCAGCCTGCTTGCTGTTCCTCCAGCATAAGAATTCCAAGTATGTTTCCACCTCAGGCACTTTGCACCTCCTGGTCTCTCTGCTCAAAATGCATTTCCTCCAATAGTCATACATTTCCCACCATCCATTTTTCTTGGGTTCTCTACTTAAATACCACTTTGTCAGTAAAGCCTTCCTGGCAACCCATTCTTCTTCTTTGATTAAGATTTTCAGATCATCTTTTTTTACTTTTTAACGTCTCTGAGAATTGGACGCATCTAACGATTGATGATCTCTCACGATTATAATTGGAAGCTTTTCTTTTAGTTGGTAGATAAATATAGTTATGTATTTGCAACTGTTGATGTCTTTGGCTTAATGAAATATAACAATTTAGCACTACCTGCTTCTTTCTGCATCATCACCTTTTTTGCCTACTTTATTTTTTCTTCATGTCACCCAGATGTATGAGCAGTAACAGATTATGCCACTCCAAAATATACCTCTTGGGCATATCAATTATTTTGAGCTAAAGGTCATTGAGAACCAGCAGACTCAAGAAAACCTCTAAAACAGGGCCCAAGTTTTCCCTTTGTAAATAAAAGTTACATTTATTTTTTAAAATCCCATTCGTAGGGATGTCGCCCTCTTCTTTACCAGGGAAGGAAGGAGTCTTAGCTTTTATTGGTGGAGAAATTTAAATTTGCACAATAAAACTTATTTAAAAACTCTTGTTCACCAGACTTTTTTTTTCAACTTTTATTTTAGGTTTGGGGATACATGTGCAGGTTTGTTACATGGGTATATTTCATGTGGCTGAGGTTTGATGAATGAATAATCCCATCACCCAGGTAATGAGCATATAACCCCACAGGGAGTTTTTCAGTTCTCACCCCCTCCTGCCCCACCCCCTCTGTAGTCCCCTGTGTCCATTGTCCCCATCTTTATGTCCAGTAAACTCAATGCTCCACACTTGTCTTGATCACCTTCCTATAATTTGGCTACCCATCTAGAAGTCCCAATCTCCTTTTGGTTGGTTATAGCCTAAGATAATATGTACATACAGGTTCTAACCACTGCTTTGAGTTACACATCTCTGAGCACTCCCATTTGTAAGTACAATGCTCAAGTTAATAAAACTCTGCTTGTTTTTCTCTTATGAATATGTCTTTGGTCAATTTTATTTGCAGGGCCCCAGCTGGAGAATGTATGATGGATAGAAGAAGAGATTATTTCTCCTTCTTTACAGGTAGGTATACTATATATTTATTCATTTAATTGTTTACTTTCTTCTTCAACTAGAAAGTCAGGCCCCTAAGGGGAGGAACTTTCTCTTTTGGATCACAGTTTTACTTCCATGTCCAAAATAGTGCTTGGCGTATTTTGGAAACTCCATAAAATACTTGTTGAATGAGTAAATTAAAGATTCTCTCTGATGATTCTCTCAGATATCAGTCCTGCTGTCCTACCAACTAACGTGATAGTTAATAGAGAGGCATGAGACACTGTCCTGTAGACAGTATCAGGGGGAATATAGTCTCTCCTGAAGCCATATGCAAAAAAGTTGGAAATAAACTGCTAAAAATCCAGTAAAACAGCATAGGCATCCTTTAAAAATAATGAAGTCTTAAAATACCTTTACAGCTTAATGGAAAAAAACAAACACAAAAAAATCCTAATAACACTGATAGCTAGTAAACCTTGACAAGGGGCTGTGTCAGATCATGACAAATGCTTTTTAAATAACCATTTCTAAGGTAATTCATTTGGGAATATGCAGAACAACTCAATTTTAATAACGGATTTCTATTTTCAATTGCTCCTGAAGACTTGCTGTTTTTACTCAGAACACCAATCACAAGAGACAACAATTCCTCCTCTGTGTGTGCAGCCACCAAGAGGAAGGAGTTGCTAAAATTCCTAGGCTGCCCAAGTACATCCATTAGCAGAGAATCAAGTCTATCCACGGATTTCTAAAAGGTGTGAACTATTTTACAGTATTTATATTTTACCGGATTTCAAGGGGTATTTGTAAAAAAATAAAGGCTTACAAAGTAAGCCTTTGTAAATAAATGATTTACTAGTGTAGCCACTGACCCACGATATTATTCCCTCTGTTTTTGTAACTCAGTGAAAGCTTTAAAATTCTCTGAGTTGGGGCTCCAGGGAGTAGCCTCCAATTTGTTCAAACAAAGGAATCTACAGCAAATCCCATGAACTCATCTGCTAAATAGTCTCCAAAATTTGATGTTCAGATGTTCTTCTATGGACATGGGCATTTCAGCATGTTATGGACAGCAGACTTGTCTGTGGAAATGTAGTTGCTTTGATTGGCAGATGTCCCTATGAATGTATCTCTCTCGCTAAGGTTATATTTTCTATCTTCTAACTTAATAGCCAGACCGATTTTAAGAAAAATTGGGTTGAGAGAAATATTCTGAGACTGAAGCTTTCTCCCTCAAATACTGTACCCTGCGGCCAATTTATACAGCTGGGGGAGAACGGGCACGGAATATGATGATTGACAGACCCTTGGGAACAAGATTATTTTCTAGTGTCACAATCATCTTTATATATTTTTGTCTTGGTTTCAGAGGCCCTTAAATAAAAACTACCCCCACCCAAAATAATGTACTCATGGCAATTCCAGAAGACACTATTCTCCTTTGAAAATAAAACAAAAACTATGCTCCTCTCTTTCAACTCTGGGTCCTAGCTCTCTGGCATTTGCACTTGAAAGTTTTCCAACACCTTTGAAGTGAGAGACTTGAGATTTTTCCGGCTGCTTAGAGCACATGGTTCAGTAGACCTCAGTGTTCCTGGGATGGTTGATTTTTTTTTTCTATCCTTTTAGTCACAGGAAAAGCTCCTATGTTACAACTCAGTACCGTGTCAGAGTGATACTGCTTCAATAACCCCTCTCCTCCTGCTCACTGACTGCTCATGAATCTCGTCAGACCTAGAGGAAGCCTTCTTTCATTTCTTGTCTGTCATGTGCTATACAAAGGGAACATAAAAAATTACAGCTTTTAAAAATAAATATCTCTGCACATTCATTAAACTTTTTTTCAGGGAAAATTATTTAAAACAAAGTTGCAAGTGAATCAACCAGCCATCTCCCCAAAATGCAGCTAAATTGAACAGTTGGGTTTGCATTATTGGTTCATTCCAAATAAGATGCTATGCAAGCCAACTATAAATGCTATTTGACCTCAACTAGGAAAGCAGCCTTTTAAATGAATGGATCATTTCTATACATTACACAACTCATCTACTCCATCATGCAAGATGCACACACACTTTTTCCTATAATGCTTATCCTTGACAGTCAACACTCTTCTGAGCAAACTAGCCCTGACATCCCTCATGGGAAATACCTACTAATGTATTAAATAGTCTGTAAGAGATTATAGAGTGGGATCTATAATTAACTCTAGAGCAGTTGGCATTAAACTATAGGGTGGGTAAGATTCAACTAAGGCTATTGTTAGAGTAACTGAATCAAATTCTCGAAGTGGGGCCTGAGAGTCTAAATTTTGATCATACATACTGGATGAATTTGATGGAAATGGTCGAAAGGCCAGACCCGAGAAAGCCCTGGCTCACAGAGTTGACTTCTCCATGAAAAGTTTATGGAATAACTACACTAACTTAAAGATAAGTTCCTGCTTAGGCTTATCATCTCATGCAATATATTGAGGTATTGGGAGGCTATGAGGCACTGTCTCTTAAAATGTGAGTATGTTAACCTGAAAAATAAATTTATTTGGTATATCAGGGACTATCAATATCTGAGCATAGAAAACATTTTGCTAGGCATCAACCAGGAATGGAACTCTAAGGAATTAGAATAAGCAAACATTAATGGAAGGGGGTCAGAAACATTTGGATGGAATGAGTTACTGCAGTAGGAGTTCAGGCAAGCAAGGGAAGAGTAAGCAATCAATGAGGAAGTATGAGGAACAGGACTTCTAGATGTGACTAAATAATATATTAACCATACCTCCATATTACCTTCCAGTTTACAAAGTGTTTTCATGTATTAAAAAATTTTGTTTATGACCATCCTGTAAAGAAACGTGTAGTATCAGAAGTGTAATAATTAGCAAAATGTCTCAAGTCAAATTTTTCTGCTTTTAAATTCCTTTTTAATCACTTCCTATCTTTGTGAGTTTAGACAAAAAAAATTTAGCCTTTCTGGATTTCAGTGCCCTGTCTGTGTAGTAGGAACAATGATAATGCTTACCTCATGGGGCTATAACAAAACTCAATAAAATGAATGCAAAATATTTAGTCATCACAATGTCTGACACTTAACACAAGTTCAAATGTAAATTTTCTTATTTTTTACTTGAAAGGGAAACAGACTCAGAAAATTATGTGACTGGCTCATTACACCGTAATTACATTTGGGAGGACTGAACTCCAGTGTTTCTGACTCCTAAGTCACATTCCAGCTCTTTCCTCTACACTAGATTTCTTGAAAAGGACAAGTTAAAGATCAAGAAATGAATACCTCACCTAATTCATAATGACTTTAAACAGTACATTTATAATCTATACCTTGCTTATTGTGACAAAGGCCGCTGTGAAACTGTACTAGCATATTGTCTCAAATATCTTTTACAAATACAGATTGAGTATGTCTTATTCAAAATGCTTGGGACTAGAAGTGTTTCAGATTTTGGATTTTGTCCGATTTTTGAATATTTGTATTATGTTGGCTCAGCTTCCCTACTCCAAAAATCTGAAACCCAAAATGCTCCAGTGAGCATTTCCTTTGAGTATCATGTTGGTGTTCAAAATATTTCAGAATGTGGAGGATGATTTTAGATTTTCAGATTAAGGATATTCAACCCATACAATAAAACTAGAATAAATTCTAATTCACGGTTTGTAAAAATCCCAGCTCTATGGGACTATCCAACTGCGATTTTATTTATGTATATATTTATTTTAAATTTCCATTTTTATTTTAGATCCAGGGGGTATATGCGCAGGTTTGTTACCGGGGTATATTATGTGATGCTGAGATTTCGGCTTCTATTGATCCCATCAGTGAGGCACTAAACATAGTTCTCAAAAGGAAGTTTTTCAGTCCTTGCCACCCTCCCTCTCTTCCTCCCTCCTTTCAGAATCTCCAATGTCTATTGTTCTCATCTTTGTCTGTGTGAACCCAAGATTTAGCTCCCACTTTTAAGTGAGAACATACAATATTTGATTTTCTGTTTCTGTGTTAATTAGCTCAGGATAATGTCCTCCAGCTGTATCCACGTTGCTGCAAAGGACATGATTTCATTGTTTTTAAGACTGAGTACTAGTCCATTATGTATATGTACCACATTTTCTTCATCCAGTTTACCATTGATGAGCACCTAGGTTGATTCAATGTCTTTGCTATTATAAATAGTGCTACAGTGAACATATATATGCATGTGTCTTTATGATAGAATTTATATTCCTTTGTGTATATACACAGTAATGGGATTGCTGGGTCAAATGGTAGTTATATTTTTAGTTCTTTGAGAAATTTCCAAACTGCTTTCCACAAAGGTTGAACTAATTTGCATTCCCACCAAAAAGCATATAAGCATTCCCTTTTCTCTGTATCCTCACCAACATCTGTTATTCTTTAACTTCTTAATATTAGCCATTTTGACTGGTGAGACAGAGTATCTCATTGTGCTTTTGATCTGCATTTCTGTAATGATTAGTGATGTTAAACGTTTTTTTATCTGTTTGTTGGCTGCTTTCTTCTTTTGAGATGTGTCTGTTCTTGTTCTTTGCCCACTTTTTAATGGGCCAACAGTTGTTTTAAATGCAAGATTTCAAGTGAATCCTTGAATATTACTAGACTCAATTGAAGCCCTTGGACATGTCCTGAAGAGTTCAAATTAGAATTTATTCCGAGCAGACACTGAGTTCTCCTCATCACTCTAGGGTTTAGATCTGTGTTTTAACATCCTTGTTGGCACTGGAATCCCTGGCTTCCTGCTTCCTTGGAGCTGCCTTAGAGGCAAGAGTCCCCTGGAGTACAAACAGGGACACCACAAGCATGACATTGCTCTGCCATTTGCACCACCAGCTTCCCTTTGGGAAAATCCAAGAAGAATAAAGTAAACAAAGATATCCTGATTCTTGGAGCCAGTCAGATGATGCCCTAAAAGATGAGACTGGTTGCAGGCAAAGGACTACCTGATCTATAGACTCTTCATTGACCCTCCAGCTACTTGTGCAGTGTTGAGTATATTACAGCTATCCAACATAGCTTGCTAAATACTCTATCAGATCTTTTATTCCATACACACATAGAATATATGCATGTATATATTACGATTATAAGAAAAAAACCAGTGGTGATATTATCTGCTTTTGCCAAATAAGAATGTACAAACTCTACAGCAATTTGTGACCAAGAATACCATAGCCAGCATTCTCATTTCCCCTCACCACCAGCCCCACAACAATCATACAGAGCATGAAACTTTTAATACACCAGCCAATGACATCTACTTCTTTCCATGGGGAATACACTATAATAGAAATAAATCACCTCCAGCCATTCCCATGTAAGTGAATTGCACTGAAGATATGATCACCATAAAGCTTTTGATCTAAGTGTTAAACAGCAACGGTTATAAAGCATAACGTGAGATTTTCCTTCTCTCACTTTTCTAAGTATTGACTCAAATTACCCAGTCAGGACTTGGAGCGTGTACTCTGCATTATGTATGGAGGAGAAATATTGACAGTAAGCACACTTAACTAAGCCCACCCCGTGCTCTGAGGTTAAAACTAGAGAGTATCTGTGATCGATTCCCTCAAGGAGCCATTACAAAGCCGATGTGTACAAGACTCTAGTCTCCATATGAGCCCCACAACACGCTTATTAAGTGAAAAACAACAACAACAACAACAAACACTGGACTAATGCCTAAAAAGTAGCTAGGTACAAAGAGAACCTGATCTGAAAAATATTTTAACCTCTGATCTGCAGTGTTCTTTTTTGTTTTTGTTTTTGTCCTGTGGCTTTTTAGTTAAGAGCTTTGACAGATAAGCACTGATAGTCATCTTTCTTCAACTAAGTAGATGTGTTTTTCCTTAGGCTTTGTTTTGTAGTCACAATTGAGGATTCCCATTTATCTCATGCTATTTATACATAAGTCTTTGCACCCCACACAGCTTATGGTGAAGTAGTAGAGGGTAGAGAAGCAGTGGTATAGGATTAAATTTTAGGCCCCAAGCAAAGCAAAACTCCATAAAAAAGCCACTCTTCCCAACTGTGTATTCTTGGCATAAACACAGGACCATTTCCTGCCTTGATCCAGGAAACACTGCAAAATTTTGGTGCAGCACATAAATTGTGAGCACAAACTCAGGCCCATTGAATTTTTTTCTGCAAAATACCTTCAGATTTTAGTATTTCTTACAAAAGTAATTACAACCTCCAACTACAGATATAGCTCTGCTCACTCTTGTTGAGTATTTATTTCCCTGGTTAGTGTTACCACTGTGCCAGGCCCTGAGTTCAAATTGCATTGCCATGAAGTGTTCTTCTGTCAGTTATCATAGAACATAGTGTTAATGAGGTCAGAAGCTGCTGCAGGTATGACATAATAACAGTGATGAGATCATTTAAAGACTCAGGTGTGACACAGTTAGCAGGTCTGGATTCCTTATGTCACTGACAATATAGCCAGGCTATACCCAAGCCAGTTTCTGGTTTGGCTTGCTATATGATGTTATTTTGGCTGTGTTCTAAAAACCTTTTAAAAGTTAAGCCAATGTTTGGAATTCATTGTGCTTTCAATTTTGTGTATTTAACAGTATACCTGTAATTTCAAATGAGAGAATCCCAACTCAAAATAGCTTAGAAAAAAAATCTCAGCATTAAAAACCCAAAGATAGATTCAGGATCAACTACAGCTGATTGCAGCTTTTGAAATGATTCATAGTCCCTCATTTTCTTTCTTCTCCCACCCCACTACCCCATCTCTCAGCTTTGCTTTTGTCACCATTGACTTCATTCGTAGGCTCATTATCCTTCCATGCAGAGGGAAAGATTGTTACATGCGGCTCCAGGAAGCATTTTCACCTCATAGCTTTCATAAATGTCCTGGTGAGGACTCTGAGACATCAGACATCAAGCTGGGTCACATGACCACACCTGAATCAATCACTGCGATTGGAGTGGGGCTTAAGTTTTCCTAATTGACTAATTCTGAGTCAAATACCTACTCCTGGATTTATACAGGTAAGCAGGGGTTATGAGAGAATCGGATATAATGATTTCTCAAAGAAAGTGATGATTGACAGGCAAAAAATTACATTTCACTTTACTGGCCACAATCAATCAGTTTATCACCATCCAAGGCTCAACCTAGTTTTATATCCCAAGCTATACTTTATACAGGTTTTCTCTTATGTAGATGAATGTACAGTCTCCTTGTTTTTCAGTTGTACATTGAAGTAGTCTGCATGTTTTCAGGTTCTGGTGTATAGACACTACTAAAGAAGCCTTTTGTCTACAGATATCCCTGGTGAAATATCTCAAGGGTTTATAACATTTACATTCTTCTTGAGCTCAAAAGATTTCCACTCACAGAGGGAATGTGTTCTGGTGCTGTCCTTTAAGCTTCTTGTGGCTTGCAGTGTAGTGGTGTAAATACTAGCATACTAATACATCTATTGCGTCTGTGTTCCACTTTACCAATTATGGGGACAAGGCAGGTGGGGCATCAATAGTGCTGGATGAAAGCCCATCAGGTGGTGTTGGTGAGTTTTTTGGGGCAACTCAGCTTGCATGAGAGTTACACTTTTCTACATCTACTAAAGGTTCCTGAAATTTAAAGCAAATTGATAGAGTTGATTTTAATCCTTCTATTTTCCTGCAATTGGAGTTTATGGAAAATCACATACTAAACTGTAGCTAATAGCATTCTGTTATCCCATGGGTTTCTGATTGGTGATGGTCTACAGAAATCTACAAGGATGCTAACCAGAATTTACCTAATATCCAGTACTGGACATGATCTCAATCAAATTAATTCACTTCACCAAGACAATCAGACATTGCTTTGGTCTTGGTGGTTACAATAAAAAATGTAAAGTTGTTCTAATATTAAATGCCTTCAGCTTCTGGAAAAATTTGACAACCTTTTCCTATTTATGAACCCAGGTGCTAAGAGATAGTTCTATTTCCATGGAAACAAATACCTTAATGTTTTTTTAACTGACATTTAAATTGAGATAGGTAGGGCCATGCATGTCTATGGTCCTTACCAAGAAGTCTCAAAGTGCACATATGTAGCCTAACTTCTTTGTAATCCCATAGATCAAGCTGCATCTAGGGTTACTCCTACCATTCTACACTTATGCCCAAGAAGACTGATGAGAAAAGAAACTAGAAATACGTCCTAGGTCTTTGCTAATATAGATAGATCATTTTTCTTATTTCAAAGGCCTCTCTACACAGTACTTTTTCCTCCAGGCTGTTCTCTCCCTTGTATACTAGCTCTTCCTCAATCACCTTTTAAATCATGTAACTAGGGCAGAATTCTTGCCCTGCAAGTGCTATATACTAACCACATAGATGATGCTACTGCATTTGCCACTACAGTTACAGATAGGAATTGTTAAGCTCATGGGTAAATACAATGAGATATAAAGGGCATGACTCTATTACCAACATCAAATGAGCAGAAAGTCTTTATGCACACAAGTTAGCTTGTATCTTTCTCTTCAAACCTATAAGAAGCACAATAGTGGTTCTTGTGATATTTACAGATTCAGCCGATTGGCTGTCTACATGAGAGTCATAGTTGCCAATTGCAGTGCTTTTGCCATTTATAATTCATCTAGATACAACTACTAATTAGCTACTGTTGGTAAACTTAGATGTGTTCACAAGTCAATGCCTTACTGGTCTGGTTCTTCTTATTTGCTGATTTTTATAGTTACAGACATATCAAAAAAAAAACATCATTTGGATGGTTTCTATTCAAGAAGCTAAATATTCCTCAATTAGAGTATCTAATGAGAAAAGCCAGTTTAACACTAAATGCAGTCATCCTATTTGGGAACTGGCATATTTGGGTAAATAGAAATGTTTCATACACCTGTATCTCTGCCACCAGATGTTGGTGACTGAAGTCTCAATGTAACAGAAATGTTGATGCCTGATTAGGGAAAATTACTCAATTTTAAATGATTTCATTGAGACTTTAGTTTATGACAGATACTTTAAATCAACTGCCCAAATTCCCCCCACCCACTTTTTTTTTTTTTTTTTTTTTTTTTTTTTTGCTAAAAATCCTAAATTAAATTCAGAGCAATATTGTACTTAGGTAAAAACTTTATTTTTTTCACTCCCTTTTGCACCAACAGGTGGCCCCAGTACTTTGCTATAATCAATGGGTAGAAGTGACAATCTGCTGAAGTTTTCTGGAAAAGCTTTTGATTTACTGATGAAAGAAGGCAAACATCTCTGTATTTGATAGATTCATTAGAAAAAGTGGCTGTCATACCCTTCACTTCCCCCCACCCTTTTTTTTTTCTTGTTAGAGACAGGGTCTCTTTCTGTTGCTCAGACTGGCACATACCCCTGCGCTTCTTTCCATCTTGAATGGAATCTGATACTGAGGGTTGAGGACACCATTTTATACTCATAAAGGAAAGTCAAATAATATTGCAGATGTGCTAGAACTGGCAGCAAGGAGATACAGGGGCCAGAGCTACAGCCTCCTACATCTAGCCTTCCTGATTTACAAGAAAAAAAATAAAACCTATTTTAAACGTCACTACAAAATGAGTATTCTGTTACTTGCCGTTGAACACATCAAACTGACACATGGACCTGACTTTCTTTCATTCTGATCAAAAGCACAACAAAAGTCTCTAATCACCAGGTAAAAGAATACAACACCAGGCACAATGACCACAAAACAGCTTCTGAAGTTCCATTTAAACCCATTATAACTACATGACCACTCAAGTTATAGTTTTCAGCTGAGTTTTCTGATATACATTGCAAAGTTGGGGATTGCTTATTTAATACAAGCTATAATTAGCCTCTATTTCTAAGTAAAACAAACTAAGGGTGAGAGAGGACAAGCACTGTTTCACAGGACAGCGAATAAATGGCTAAATGAAACTCAAGCTCAAATTTTCTGGTTCCAACTAGCTTTTCTCTATAATACACTGCACATGTGTCAAAGAGAAATAATAAAGATAATGTATTCCAGACTTCAATACCACAAGTAGAAAATTTTGCCTCTCCAAACCTGTGTCATAAGGTCATGTCAAATTGTCAAAATAAGAGAGTTGGGTCTACGTAGGGGTGTGCGTGTGTATGTGTTTGAGTGGTAGGGACAGGCTTCTTAATTAGAGCTCTGGAATGTCTCTAAGAGTCTTGATGTTTTACGCTCTTTTCAGCAGTGTGACCCCTTCTACGTGTGAATCCTCTGCTCATTGGAGAGCTACTGAAAACACTATTGACTTTCCATTTAATTTATAACTTGAGCTAAAAATATTTTTGCATGTTCTGTCTGTCATTTCCCTTTTTCTTTTCTTTTTGGCTATTTGTTACTAGAAAACTTAACTACATTATTGAATTCTAGGTAGGAGTTTGGAGAGCCAGCTTATGTAAATGTAATAAATAAATCAAGCTGAAGTACAGCACATTATAATTTTCTAGCATTTGTAACCAAAACTATCAAGTTATTAAAAAGCATTTATTGTGAACAGCAGTCGGCTATTGTAACGAGGTACCTCTGCTATGTGCAGAGAGTTTTACATTGTGATTCCTAATTTATACTACCTGTGTTGTACCCCAGAGACAAGCGATGATTTCAGGACATTCACTGTGATGTGTCAACCCCATGGCTCTTCCAAAAAACAAATCATTAGAGGTGAAGTCATTTACGGTCATTTCTTATTTTTAGTGTGCTCATCTGACTCACAGGCAGATTTGGTGACTCTCAGCTACATATAATTTGGAGAATATACCCCCATTCTAAACTGGCCTTCATTCTCAGATGCTATCATGTTAGAAATGTCACCATTAGCTATTTAGGTCACAAAAGTTCCTGTGGAGCAAGAGTATGTCGTATAATTCTTTGTACTTTGGTATAACCTTCCCCACAGTGTCTGGCACAGTATAGGTCCTAAGCAATAGGAGAAAGCCTAAACAAGAGAAATGGAAAACAGAAAAGTAGAAACCAAAGATCAACCTCAGACTTCAAGTATTTTACAGTTTTGCCTATGGTTAACTCAGGCTAGAAAGAAACATAAAGGCAGCTTACTGAGCCATTCCCATGCTGTATTTTGCCTGAGGGAGTGCAAAATATAGATTTTCCCTTTGTAAGTCAGGGACCTCTGTGTGTCTGGCATTGACCTGAAGGCATAACAAGGCTGTCAAGGATAGTGTCTCTTTTGTAGAGCCATATTCCTTGAATAAAAGATAGAGAATGCCTGAAGGTAGGGTGATGAGAGTGAAGATGACACAGCTGCAACACACAGGAAAATATTTCAGTGGCAGGTGTTCCCCCATCAATCTAGTTAGTGCCACTTCTGGTCTACTTGGCCCTATTCCTATACCAAGAGAGAAAGCAGTGTGGCCAGAAGAGGAGTATCCTAGAGAATTAGCCAAATCCCAGTTTGAATGTTTAACCACTTACAGGGTTTCTTATGAGTACCACATGTACTGCACAGAAGCACATTAATGAGGCATTTCTACTGGTGATGTCACCCCAGATCTCCCTGCCATTTGAAGTGGATAGGAGATCTTCCATTCCTGTGTGAAGCATTTACATAGACTTGCATCTGCTGAAGAGCGGCCATGTTGCTTCCCAAAAGCGGCAGCATGTCAGAGAACTAAGTCTAAAATAGAATATACCAGATCATCTGCATCACTCAATGAATAGTATGTGAATATAACTTGTAACACAATGTGGCTATGAATTTTTAACATGATTTCTCCAACACAGTGAGAGATATTGCATTGACATTTTAATAAATGTACAAAATGGATTAACCATTTCATGATCCATGTATGAAACATTAGTTTGTAGATTATTTTTGTAAAACTGAAACCTTTATAACTTTCCTTAAGACTTAGTTAGCTTCTAGGCCATTATTCCTGCCTCCTTTGTCTCCTTTTCTCTAATAGATTTCTATTCTTTAGCTGTAGAAATGTATATCAAAATCAGCTTTGACTACATAAAACTGCTTGGCGTTGTGTAAGTAATATATACTCACAGAATTATTGTAAGCATCAAATGGCATAATGTATGTGAAAGTGTTTTGTAAAATTTAAATGTTATGCAAATGTGAGTGGTTATTATTGTTGCTAACTTCTGTAACTGTGCACAGTGGTCATTAGGTAACAGGCACTGTGCTAAGTGCCTTGCATATATTATCTTGTTTAACATAATTCTCTCAATAATACTATCAAGTGAGTATTATTATCCTAGTTATGCAGAAGAGGAAAATAAGTCTTAAAGAAGTTAAGGAACTTGGCCAGTGTTATGCAGCTACTAAATGATGAAGAGGTAAAACCTGATGCCAAATCAATATAATGTCATATAATTAAGAACCAAATATAGATGAAATTTTGTATTAGTTGCCATTTGGGATTATCATTACCACTTTTCTCTTCCAAAAGCATGATGAATGGAATTTTATTTAAATAAATTCTTTCTACCCTATGAAAGCTTCAGGAAAAGTCATCCTGTGACAATTAAAAAAAGAATAATGGATATCCATCTACCACACACCCCTTGGGTGTGAGGGTAGGCTGGGCTGTTGGATCCTAGCCTGTGGGAGGGCCATCTAGAGCTCAAAATAGTGACATGACATCTTCAACCACCGCCCACCCTTCTTAAAAAAATAAACAAAAACAAAATTCCTCATATACTAGCTCTAGTGGTTTCAGGTAAAGGGCCTACCAAAAACTTACATTGCTCTATGGCTTATTACCACAGCTCTTCTCTTAGATCAGTAACTCACCTTCTCTCATCCATTTTATTCAATTACCTCTCCTCTCCCAATGTATCTGCTACTTATAGATTCAAAATAAGCATGAAATCACAAATGGTGAATTCCTCATCTTGGTCTACCATATCCAATATCCTTGTCTCCTTTTCTGACATCATCTCCTACCACTTTCTCTTCCTGCTGCCTACCCTCTGTACCCTGGTCTTAATTGTTGTTCTTCAAATGCACCAACCTCTTTCTAGCTTTAGGACCTTTGTGTCTACACTCACACTATCTCAGTGGCAGCACCCTTAGTATCCAGGGCTCAATTCAGAAGATACTTTCTTCAAGAGGCTTTCCCTGCATACCAAATCAAACCACTGCCCCCACCCTACCCCACCATGTCACTTTCTTATATATCCCCTTCTGTCGTTTTTCTTCATGGAATTTATAACTCCTTAAAGCTACCCTATTCATTGTCTGTTTGTCAGTGTATTTTATTTGTCCTATTCTATGGCATATAAGCTTCATGAGAGCAGTGTTTCATTGACCACTACATCTCCCACCATCTAGTTTCTACCTAAAACAGTGCTTCATAATTTTAGTGCTCAGTAAACATTTGTAAAATTTAGTAGCAAACTGGTTCAACACCTAGCACTGATAAAGCAACAATTTTCTTGAATTATTACAGTCTGAGACTGGCTGTATGTAATGTTATGCTATGTAAAGAAAAATTAAGTGGGAAATAGTACTAAATTCTGTCTCTCAGTTATTTTTGCCCACAAAAATCCCAGAACCCAGGATTCTGTATTCTCTTGGTAGCAGTGTACTGCATTATGGAGAGATTAGCTTTTGAACACCATCAATAAACATCCCACACTCATTCCTTTAACAAAACTCAATGGAAAAATTTGAGGCCACAAAATAAGAAATAAAAATTCACAGCATAACCTACAGGGGAAAATGTTTAAGGACTACGATCTTGAAGCCCTGTTAAAATAACTACATGTAATAACTTTAGAAATGAAAGGCTTGAAGTTACTCCAAGATCACAGCATTCTTGTTATATCTTTCTCAACTAACAGTTGAGAAACTTAGGGTCAGATTCAAAGACTCAGGCTTAAATCTGAAAGAAGGAAAACAGTTGGTTAGGATGATATATTCTCAAACGACACTCAAAGGGTTTGAGAAGAAAAAATACATGGCAATTGAATCAGGCTGAAGAAAAAGTAAAAAAATAGAAGTGGAGTCAAAGAAGGCAGAAAGAAAAATCAATGCTCTTAATAAGTTATGATCAAAATGAAGAATAAGTAATTTGAGTAACAATGCTTGAGGTCCCCAATGAGATATATGAAAAAAAAAGGAAGTTGTTAAGACTAAACATACTCATTTATATTGGTGATGACTTTCCTTTTCACACTGCATTCTCATTGTCTCCTCAATCTCTAGAATCATACATGGTGTAATCTTCATGGATTACTTTTTAAAGGATCCTGCTAGAATGGAATGTATCAGATGTGGCAGTGTCTCAGGTTCCTCTCAGCTCTACAATTGTCCAGCATTTGGAAACATCTAACCTCTGAAAAATCCATAGCAAGAGTTGTATGTATTTCACAATCGCATCATCTTTCTCAAAGAGTAATCATGTTAAAATCATTTCTGGGACAATTATAACATAAATGTACACACGCGTTTACACACACACACAGTCACACCCTAGAAGTCATATGTACATATGAAAACTCCAGTAGATGGTTATGGGGTATTATATTGATGGTGGCCTGAGATGGATGCATATTTCTAATGGCTTTTTAAAATTATTATCTTGTAACTTCAAAAAGGACTTTTCAGGGGAAAGCTCTGCCATCAAACAGATTAAAGTGTCTCTTTTCAGAAAAGCCTTTGCAAGATTGGCAAATAGTGCACATAATATATATCTGGGCACAAACTGATTCTCTTGAAGGAAGAACCTTGTGGTACATGTCCCATATCTACCTTTCAAAGACCATGACAGAGTAAATAAAATGAAATCCTTAAAGTTATCTTAGCTGCTGGTGACATCACAAATACGAGGCAATATATAATTTGTCTGGTCAGGATTGTTAATCCTCATCATCCGTACAAGATGTAAAGGGAGTTCTCACCAGAGTGGAGGCCCCTTGGAGGTGCAGAGAGCCATCTGGTTCCTTAGGTTGAGTTAAAAAAAAAAAAAAAAAAAGCAGATTTGGGGCTGAAAGGGAAAAGAGCCACTGAAGAAGAATGACCTGGGAATCTGCTCAAGCTATGAGGCATTTGTACACTTGTGTTCTTCTGGGGCCCTCCACTGGACTATAATAATTCAGGGTAAACAAATGGGGAAGCACACACATGCCCACAAATCACTGTGCTAAAAGGCAAAAAAGGAATTGAGAGACAAGAAATACAAAAGGCAGCCGATCTAATGTGAAAAGAAGAGATTTTAGAGGTCCATCCAAACAGGGATCTTTAAAGTAATGAAATAAGAGATCTCCATCTACCTTGCTGCAAGCCAACAATTTAAGGACTCATTCCTTGGAAATTTAGCCCTTTCTTTATTTTCCTGGGGCATTCTCCTGTATAGTAAAGAATTCATAAAAGTCCATCATTTTTTAAATTCTAATTTTGAAATAATTTCAAACTTGTAATGGTTGCTCAATGAGTATAGAGGACTTCTGTATACCCTTTCCCAGTTTCATCAATTTGTATTATTTTGCTACCTTTGTTCTTTTTGTCATTAAATTATATAATTTAATATTAAAATAAATATTATAATATTAAATGCATATACATATGTACATTTCAAATTCAAGAAAATTAACCTTGATACAATGCCTGTCTAATCTACATCTTATCTACCAATTTTTTCAAATGACCCAGTTCTGCCCTTTGTAGCATTTTTTTCCCTTCAGTATAAGATCCAGCAGTTCATGGTCATTCTTTGCATTTAGTTGTCACATCTGATGTTTCCTTTTAATTCTATTCAAGTAATATATGCCCAGGTGGAATATGACATAAGTGATATATTCTTTCTATGGTATCACATCTGAAGGCATCTTATTCATCTCCCAGTTATTAGTGATGTTAATTTGGATTCCCAGGTCAAAGTGTTGTCCAATTTCTCCACTGTATAGTAACTACATTGCCCCTTGCAGCTAATAAGCAATCTGGGGGGAAATAGTTTAAATTATACAAATGCACTGTTCCTCACCAAGTTTTTCTTCCTAGACTTAGTATCCATGAATGATTCTTGCCTATAGCAATTTGTTCTGTGATGGTTGCAAAATGATGTTTTTCCAATTCCACTATTCTTTTCACATTTATCAGTTGCTAGTCTACTGTTAGGAAGAGCCTTCCCCTATTCCCCATTTATTTATTTGTTTATTGTTTATCAGTATGCAATCATGAACTCCTGTTACTCACTGTGTTTTAACCCATTATACTCCTTAAATTTTGATGAAGGTATTACCTACATGCATGCAAGCTGGCTTCTGTGTCCTTTTAACACACCTCTTTGGGATTTTTATTTGTTTGGGGTTTTTTGTTTCTGTTTTTGTCTTGAGTACTTCCTGAACAATAAGCTGTTCCAGACTCATACTTCTGATAGAAACAGGGGGCAGAGAAATTCTAGGTGGAAAGACAGTGAGAGGTGAAGCCAGCTGGACTCTCTGGGTCAAGTGGGGACTTGGAGAACTTTTCTGTCTTACTAGAGGTTTGTAAAAGGCACCAATCAGTACTCTGTAAGAACGCAACAATCGGTGTTCTATAGCTAGCTAGAGGTTTGTAAAATGCACCAATCAGTGCTCTGTAAGAACGCACCAGTCAGCACTCTGTAGCTAGCTAGAGGTTTGTAAAATGCACCAATCAGTGCTCTATAAGAACGCACCAATCTGCACTGTGTAGCTAGCTACAGGTTTGTAAAATGCACCAATCAGTGCTCTGTAAGAACACACCATTCAGCACTCTGTAGCTAGCTAGAAGTTTGTAAAATGGACCAATCATCGCTCTGTAAAATGGACCAATAAGCACTCTGGAAAATGGACCAATCAGCAGGACATTGGCGGGGATAAACAAGGGAATAAAAAGCTGGCCACCCCAGCTAGCATCGGTAACCCACTCTGGTCCCCTTCAAAGATGTGGAAGCTTTGTTCTTTCACTCTTCACAATAAATCTTGCTGCTTCTCACTGTTTGGGTCCATGCCATCTTTAAGAGCTGTAAGACTCACTGTGAAGGTCTGCGGCTCCATTCTTGAAGGCAGCAAGACCATGAACCCACCAGAAGGAACAAACTCTGGACACAACAGGAACCCGACAAAACACCACCCTCAATCTAAAAAGCCTGAAACTGTGGCCCAAAGTGAGAACTTATATTTCTGTTTTCCCACTCGAATATTGCCTTCTCCTCAACCACCACTGGCCCAGCCCCACCCCCATCCTGTGCCTATAAATACCCCAGACTCAGCCAGCAGCTAGGACTACAGCTAGACATTGGAGAGAAGCAGCAGCTTGACTTCAGAGAGACAGCTTTACAGTGTAACTACGAAGAAGAATCCAGCTGGAGAAGGCTGGACTTCAGGGGAAGATTACCTACCCACCCCATCTGCTTTTCAGCTCCCTTTCCCTCTGAGAGTCACTTTCATCAACAATAAAATCCCCCTCATTTACCATCCTTCAATTCACTCACAAGGCCTCATTTTTCCTGGATGCCAGGCAAGAGCTTGGGAGCCACGAATGTGGATACAAAAGGCTGTTACACTGGCCTCTGGCCCTTTGCCCTCACTCGTGGAGGGCAGCTGCCTCACACGGAAAAGCAAAAGGCCCACTGAGCTGTTAACACTTAAGCCGTTCATGGAAGGCAGAGCTAAAAGAGCACCATAGCATTCTCTCTGGGGCCTCAGGAGTCACAGACACCCCTGCCTGGATGCTGCCACAGGGCCTGCACAGAGTTTGCTACTGCCGGTGCCCAAAAGCGGCTGCTTCAGTTCCTGCACCCACTCACCTGCATGCTCCATCCCATGAGGGGAGGAAGGCAGCAGGCCCAAGTGAGTGGAGTTTGATCCCACTGGCACCAAAGCATTTGGCTGGTTCCAGTGCTCATTCATTCCTGTTCCTGCACTCATTCACTCACCTGCCCCCTCCCTGGAGAAGTTGAGAGCAGTGGGCTGAGTAAACAAGGCACACCTATCACAAGTCTTAAGAAGGGATCAGGGAAATATCCTGCTTCACCTCCTCTGCCCCAGTCCTGGTATTAATCGTATCTTCAATTATCTCTGGTTTCATTTAGTGAAGAATGACACTTAGAAACCAACATCTGTGCATTAAGTATGCTCATTCTTCCTGAGGATGTTATTGTGTCTTGCCCTTTTGGTGGACACAGAAATATATGTTTCTGTTGATATCTCCCTTTCCAATATAACCCCATAGTGCTCTTCTTTGCCTTCCTTTATTCCAACGTCCCTTTCATCACATTGTTTTCCACATCATCACATTTATTAATATTTATTTGCTCAGTCCTACAATGCACACAAAGTAATTTAAGAATTGTTATACTCATATCCCTATCAAAAACAAAAAGCTAGACAACATAAAAAGAATTTGGTTTGCAGTTTTTCCCTCTAGATTGAGGATATCAGTCAAGACTGTATTTAATACATAGTTGTAGACACTTGTTATGGACTAAATGTGAGTGTCCCCACAATTCATATGCTGAAGCCCCAAACCCAAATGTGATTGTATTAGAAGGTGGGGGTTTAGAGATTAATTAGGTTTAGAAGAAGTCATGAGGGTGGGATCCTCATAACAGGATTAGTGCCATCCTGGGAGAGCAGAGAACTTGTTCTCAACCTTTCTCACTCCTGCCATGTGAGAACACAGCAAGACGATGGCCGCCTGCAAGCCAGGAAGGGGCTCCTCACTAGGAACTAAATCAGCAGGCACCTTAACCTCAGATTTCAAAGATGCCAAAACTGTGAGAAATAAATGTCTGTTGTTTTAGCCACCTAGCTTATGGAATTTTGTTATAACAGCTCACGCTGACTAAACCAACACTTATAGAAAATCAACCATTCACAAATCTTGGTTCCCCAAACAGCTCATTTTATTATTAAATGAATAAAAGTATGCTTATGGCAATCATATTGTCCAAGTATAAACATAGAAAAATACACTTACCATGTAATAAACTGTTTGAAACAATCACTGCCCTGAGAAATCTAGGACAAATGGTATTTTTTGATACACCACAAAAAATTTAAAGGCAAACTTTAACATGTTGTTTTAGTTGGTATGTCTTTACAGAATGACTTGTTATTGCCACTTCTTTTTATCTATTTTCTGTCTCCCTTACAAATATTGTACCAAGTAAATTATACATGAACTAAATAAAATGAATAAGGTAAAATGATAATTTTATTATATGTAAATTACATCTTGATAATTATATAATAAACTTAAAGCACTTACATTATTGCTTTGTTTTTTCTTCTAAATGTCCTTATGCCGTTCATTTAAAAGACAGTGGAAATTGTTTCTGTTTGCAGCTAGTCATTGGTTTTCTTCTTCCTATTCTTATTTAATTTTTATTTTTGAATATGTAGAAGTTTCCAGAAGTTAAAACTGTACCAAAAATTATAGCCAAAGAAGTGTCTCTTTCTCCTTTATCCCTTATATTTTGTTCCTCCTGCCAATGCCTTATAAACAACATCTTTGGTTGTTCAGTTTATATCAACTATATTTCTTTTGTAAAAATAAGCAAATGTGTGCATGTTTTCTTATTTGCCCTTTTTTCTTACACAAAAAATAGCATGAAATATATGTGTTTTTGTAGTAACCTACTAGGATGAAAGATATTCTACTATGATGCAAGGATTTTTAAGATTACCCATTTGCCTACATTAAACGAATAAAGACACAAGATGAAGAAACTTCTTGTTGAACTATTCTTAAATTCTGAAGTCTTCCATCCCGTTACTTAACTCTAATGTCATCTTCAACTACACTTGCTCAAAATCCTCTTAGGTTCCTTAAAGCTAAATCTTCTCTAATTTCCTGTACTACCCCTTTTTTAATCTTTCCCCAAATCCTGTGTTGTTCTTTAGTTCCCAAGCCCACCTATCTTCTACTTCTCCACTCATCACCCTTATCTCTTTACCAATAGATTTGTCCTGATTATTAGCTCCCACTCAAACTCGGATGAGGTCATTGTATGGAAATTAAGTCTGACAGGTCTAAAATCAAGAATCATCCTATCATTGCCTTATAAATTGTGTATTTTTCAGGATAGTTTCCTGTAACAGCTGACATGGAGTAAATCTCACATCCTAGTTATAATTTTGGGCAGTAGGGAAAAAAAATTCTGGACAAGGAGCCAGGAGGTATTTCCCTGAGATCCAGTTCTTTCCTCTAACTTGCTTGAATTCCTTAAAGCAAAGTAGCAATCTGGGCTTGCATTTATGTAGTAAGAAATTTGGCCTCATCTAAAATAGAAATCTATTCATTACCCTTGCTCTTAGGAGGCAGCCTCTAAACCCTTGTAATTTCCTGAAAGATAGGTGTGTCTTTGTTATTGATCGTGGGCCCCTCAATCATACCCAATAGTTTATGCTAACATGGCAACTCATGGTGGAGCCCTAGAAACTTTATACTAATGAGGTGACTCAAGCTGAGATCCAACCATGTCAGAAAGACCAGTCACGTGATTAAAGCGTTGGAGTTCAGGGCATGGGGATGGGAGGCTAGAGACTGAGTTCACCCACATAGGCAATAATTCAAATAAATAATCATGTGTATGTAATAACCACCCCCTGCCCCCCAAAAATTCTGGAAACCAAAGCTCAGGTGAACTCCCCTGTTTGACAATATTCCTTGCATATTGTCACACATCAGTGCTGGGAAGAAAATATGTTCCTGAGGACAATGTAAACTTTGCATTTTGAACCCTCCCAGATTCTGCCCTATGTTTGCATTTTGAACCCTCCCAGCATCTTTTCATTTGGGTTGTTCTAAGTTACGTTATTTCAGTATAATAAAGCTGCAGTCATAAATATAGCACTTTCCTGAGTCCTGTGAATTATTCTTGTTAAGTTACCAAACTTGATAATGGTCATCCATAGAAATCCCTGAACTTGTGGCCAGTTTGAAGTGACGGCGATCCTGAAGACCGATGGATTTGTGGCTGTTGTCTTCAGTTTTGGCAGTATTGTGGGGACTGTCCCTTCTTATTGTACATTTTGCCTAATACTTTGCAATGCATAAAAAAGAAATTAAAATGTGATCATTGACACTTTTCACAGCCCTAAAACATCAGCTCCATCATTCCATGCTACTTTTCATTTAGATTTCCATTTTCCCAATATTTTCATTCATTTGGAACCTGAGAAAAACATGTACGTGAAATAATAACACATAATCCACAAAATGCTCATAAAGCATAGTGTAGCTCATGAAGATGGAAATGTACCTCCAACAACGGGACAAAGGGTTAGATAAGAGAGGCTTTGCTTCAAAACTATGTTGCCAGTTTATGAATGCCCTAGAGTGGTAAAATGTGTGCCTTTCAAGCAGGCAATTCCCTGCAAGTGTATGTCTGTTAAACAACACCACCATTGCTTCTCCAAGATTATGAACCTTTAATTATTCCTATTCTAAAAGCAAGGGTCCATTTTCTGTCTAGTTATGACCTGCTTGTGTTAAACAGTGCCCAAGACCATACTCTGTTCTGCATAATTACCTCACAGTGAAAAGTTAGTAGATGAAAACAGTGAGATCTGCTTTTTCTCCAAGCAATTCAAAACCTGAAAATTAGATGTCAACATTCACTCAGACCCAGTTCTGTTTGCTGCAGTGCAGTAATTACTAAATGAAAAAAAAATTAATCCAATATATTTCTTTATTCATTTCCTCATGCCCTCTCTAAACTAGTCCATCATCCAGGCAGAGAAATGAAGCACAAAGTGAGAATATGTACTCGACTGTGGGTGGCAGCTATACAAAAGCAAACTTCGCTTTGCAATAATAACAGCCCCCATTCCAGCCCCTGCCCTAAAGCAAGCTTTGCTGAGATGCCTCCAGGTGGGCTCCATAAAGTTGGGCACATGTCAGGACTCTGAGGATGGCAGTTGCCTAGGGAAAAGAAGGTGAGTAGAAAATAAAGTACTAGAATGTAAGAGAAACATCATTGAATTTTTCAGAAAGACTCCTCAAAACCATTTTCCTTAACAAGGCTATAATTATAGCAAGGTTCATGGAAATTAAATCTAATTACTAACCCTTTTCAGGTTAATGGGCAGTTTCTAGAAATGAGGAATGAAAAAGAAAAATGACCAGTCTGTATGCAACCAGTATTTCCCGAAGTTCATTCATTCATTTTTTTCACTTATTCTACGGTATTTATTAAATATTTGCTAAGTTCCAGGCTTGTTTTAGAAACAATGGTACATATTAGTTGGCTAGATTGACATATTACACCTACAGATCGTGTTAATAATTTATGGACTACTGAACACATAAGCACTCCACAAATGAACAAGCATGGGAAGGGAACTCCTCTCCCCGCTCCCAGGAAAAAAAAACAGTTAGTTGACCTTCATGCTGGTAATTTTAACAATAGAGAACTTTTTTTGTTTGTTTTTTGAGACAGAATCTCGCTCAGGCCGGTTGTACGGTGGTGCAATCTTGGCTCACTGCAACCTCCACCTCCTGGGTTCAAGCGATTCTCCTGCCTCAGCCTCCTGAGTAGCTGGGATTACAGGCATGCACCACCATGCCTGGCTAATTTTTGTATTTTTAGTAGAGGCAGGGTTTTGCCATGTTGGTCAGGCTGGTCTCGAACTCTTGACTTCAGGTGATCTGCCCACCTCGTCTTCCCAAAGTGCTGGGATTACAGGCGTGAGCTAACAACAGAGAACCTTCGTTCAATTTCTAATCTTGCAGCTGGGCACAGTGGCTCATGCCTGTAATCCCAGCACTTTGGGAGGCTGAGGTGGGCGGATCACCTAAGGTCAGGAGTTTGAGACCAGCCTGGCCAAGATGACGAAACCCTGTCTCTACTGAAAATACAAAAATTGGCTGGGCATGTGGCACATGCCTGTAATTCCAGCTACTTGGCAGGCTGAGGCAGTAGAATCGCTTGAACCCGCGAGGTGGAGGTTGCAGTGAGCTGAGATCGCACTACTACACTCCAGCCTGGGCAACAGTGCAAGACTTCATCTCATAAAAATAAATAAAAATAAAATAAAATTTCCAATCTTGGGAATAAATAAGGAACTCATTTTTGTGTTTGAGGGCATTTCTATCACATTAGTTTTCTTCCATGAGCTGTCCTTTCTATGTGAGGGCATAGGAAAAAAGCATGAGGAATATTTCTCTACCCTCTCACTTACTTAAAAAAAAAAACAAACTCTTTGTAGGCTACCTACAAGAAACAATACAGGTAGAAAAGACAAATAATAGTCGTGTTAGACTGTTTTGAAAGCAGAAACTTGAATGCAGAGACCAAGTCTATCTTATTCACTATTTTATGTCCAGTGCCAAATAAAGTGTCTGCAATGCGTTAGGAGCTCAATGATCACTTGTGGAATGAATGCATGAATGGGTAAAGGAGATTTAGAGTGTTTTAGAGGAAGGACATGACATAGACGATAGGGAGAAAAAATATCTGTCTCACCTAACATAAAGCTATTATGTGTCTCTTCCCATAGTAGTTAGAGAAGCAGCTACTTCCCATGAGCCACATTATATAATGAAAATTTTATAGGCACTAATAAATTCAAGGCATCTTATTACAGACCTTAGGAGAAAGATATGAAGACAGTCACTTGTAGAAATGTCTTTTATGTAGGTTGACAAGGCTGATTGAGAGGTTTGTTATTTTCCCAGAGCATTTATCCAAAGGTGATGCTGTGCCTCCCAAGACTCATCAAACTCTCCATTGCTACCCACTTCTGTTGATTCAAATGAGAAAAAATAGTTGAGCCAGAAAAAAATTCTAAAATGTATATTTAATGACTTGGCCTTGGACAAATCATTTCCTATTTCCAGGCTTCATTTTTCTTATTTTCAAAATGAGAGCATTGATGCCAATGATATTTAGAGTCCATTAAAGAATTCCAATTTTTTTTATTTTTTAAAAACCTGAGTAGAAATTATAAAAGTACAAGTATAATTTTTATCTAAATTTCAAGATTATTGTTTGGAAGAGATTTTTAAATGCAGATATTCAAAGTGAAGATTATTATGTGGGTGTTTAAAAATACCAAACAGCAACTTTTAATATCAAAAATATGGATGTTTGAAATGATACAATACATCTCACAGAGTTGGGAAGAATGCCTGGCAGAAGTCCTCTGGATATGACTGAGTGAGCTTTATACTGAAATCTCATAAGGATGAAGAAGAATGTTTATAAAATATCAGAGAACCACAGAACTGATAGATAAAGTAGAAAAAAGGGTGGAAAGGGGACTTTTCATAAGATTCTCTAAAAATAAAAAGTGACAAACAACACTTATGACTTAAGATATTACAAGTCGATGCACAAAGTATGGAAAATAAAAAGTAACCTTTACATTTTTAAATACAAGAATTTAAATATGATCTTAAATTTCAGGGTATAAGACCTGTGGCAAGAACGTGGAAATAAAAATTTCTGATTTGGAGTTGAAACATGGGTGGAAAGAATTTTAGTGATAAAATTAAGATTATTAATCAAAGTGATATTACTATATGTGCATATGTCATTACAGTGTATATTACATTGCATTGTAGTCACTGTTCAAATATCAATTTTCTCCACTAGATTGCAAGTTTCATAAGGGCTGAAACTTATTTATCAGGATACTATAGTAGTTAGAATGTAAAAACTCAATCTTTGTGGAATTAGTGTTAGGTAAGTATTAGCTACTTATCAACTAGTTAAGTAAAATCACAGAACATAGAAAAATATTGTATGATTCTACTTGCATGAGATATTTAGAGCAATCAAACACATAAAAACAGAAAGTAGCCAGGAGATAGGGGCAGAAGGAAAAAGAGAGTTATTGTTCAATGGATATGAAGTTTCGGTCTTGTAAATTGAAGAAGTTCTGGACATCTGTTGCATAGTAATATGAATATACTTAACACTACTGAACTATATGCTTAAAAATGGTTACAATGGTAAATTCTATGTTATGTGTTTTTTATCATAATTAAACATTTAAAAATTATTTTACAAAACCACAAAACATAATCAATAATAAACTACTTGACCAAAGAGATCAAAGTCTGTTAAGGATCCAGATGGATCGTTGGTTTTAGAAGGTACGGATTTAATTATTTACTCAGCATAGCTATACATTTTCTTACTACAACCACTAGGGGGAAATGTTTAAAGAACGAACAGTATTTGACTGGCTAGACTGTCAAAAGCATCCTAGAAATGTAACTTGGTGCTCAAGAACTCCAGCCATCTCACCCTTCCTAAGGAGGCATGGACAATCTTTGTGAATAATGCTCTTCTCATCCTCCACTTCAGTGGCCTCCAGAGCCATGAAGGGCAATGCATCTGTTTCTAATTCCCTTGTGACAACTGGACTCCCATGTGTGAAATAAGCTGAAACTCAATTAAAGAGGCTGTGGCTCCTGCAATCTTTCATTAAGTCTTTTGGCAGCAAACACAGCTGCAGGCATTTCTTCTTTTTTGCTCCCCGAAAAGCACCTCCTGAGATTTAATTCTGAATGAAGAGAGATGTAGGAGCTTCCTTAGGATCCTGTCCTGAAAAATAACTTCTTGAGTTGAAATTTAGAGAATGTCAATAAGTGACCTCATGCTCTTGTAGGAAGATGAAGAGGAATGGATCTGATTGCATTTCCTATAGATACCGTAAAAGAGAAGGGAGGGGCTGAAGGGAGGTGGTAAGTTTGACAGTAATAGTTTTCAGCAGCTCTGACAAGCCAAGAAACTTTATCTGTTCATCACACTTTTCCTTCTCTGCTGATTTTAAATGCAAGCCCCTTACTTCAAGCCTGACTGACTTCTCTCTTGATTCAGAGTAATTGGGATCCTCAGAGGCTTTCCAAAAGGAAACATTTTCTGGTTGTATCATCTCCGGGTGTTAACACTAGATAGTGGTGTGGCTTATGTTCAGTATCTTTGGGAATCACATTAGGGACTGAGAGTGTTGGGCTGCTGAAACCCAAAAAGCCCACAATGGGGGGAAAACTCACATTGCTAGCTTCTCCTCTCCTACCTAGATCATCACCCATTTCAATTACACTGTGTAATAGAAACAGGGATACAGTCTGAAATCTTACGGTTCAAAACAATCTTGAAGTATTTCCAATGTCTCCAAACCATGCCACATGCAAAATCATTAAGTGCACATTGCAATCACATTGATCACTACTTCTCATCATTACAGATGGGGCTTGAAACATCTAGTGTTTTAATGAGCCAGCATGAATTTTATGTTCTACTTTTGGTCTGAGAGACAATGTAGCTCCTTTCAGAGATCGATTCCAATGAACTAAAAATTTCAGGTCAGCTTGTTTCCTTTGGGATGGAAGTCTTATTTTGTTAAAAGGAAAAAGCACAAAAATCCAGATTATTAGGGTAAAGGGAAAAATAATTTTCTATGAAATCTGATGTATTAGGAATTTAGCATGGACAATTTAGAGCTCTTTTGCCAACAGCTTTCAATATCTAGCTGCCTCAGTTCTTTTCTTACATTGCCTATATAAAATATTAAAGGAAATATTACTTATAATATCCTCCAGTTTCCAGAACATATTTTCTTTGAACTTAGCTGAATGCTTTTCTCTTCACGTATTTAATCACATTTTTCAACACTAATATTCATATGGATATTATATTGTGTATATATGATGAAAAAATTGTAGATGTGAGATATCATCAGTTTCATGTTTAGCTAGTAACACTAAAAGGCAAGACCCGTTGCACTGCTGGACTGGTGTGATTGTACTCTCTCACCACTCCTTTCCTATTTGTTGTAAGTAGTTTAGTAGAATTGACTAAGATGTCTTCTCTCTGACAATGTTTCTATAAGCCTGAATCTTAGAAATATTTCAGAATCAAGGAGGGAATCCGTGATAAATAATACTCCTAGGTTATAGGTCGTGTGAGCACATAGACACAGAATTGTGCATCTTTTCCCAAAGAAATGCATGTAGAGAGGAAATGGTGTAAATTCTATGTTTTCAGGAGACTGGGGGAGTTTAACGTTGACCCGAAATACCTTTGACTAGGAGCCAGCTATCCCCAAGTCATTTGCATGGCCATGGCCCTACTTCCCTCTAACTTGGGAAAAGAGGGCTTTGCATTTGGGATGCAATTATCACAGCAATCAATCCATCAAAATGTTGTTGTTTTTTTCCTTTAGGAGAATAAAAAAAGGATACAGAAGCTTCTGAGTGAATGTAGGAGCCTTGAAAACCAAAAAACCTGTATCATTTAGACTTGTCTTGTAGCTTTTGGCCAAAGCTTGCAAACCTTCATATTTTATTTCTTTTTGGCTTCCCCAATCACCATGTGTTCTGATTTTTGCTTCTCTGGCCAAGTCAATTTATTTTTCTCTCTCTTTTTATTTATTCTCTTATTAAAATTAATTTTTACTTTTACTTTTTCCTTACCCCTCTCTCATTTTTAAGGCCCCGTTTTAATTAAGGTGGAAATATATAGAAATATTGTGTCTCTTATAGAAACTATGGAAAGAACAGATGCAAAAAATACAGCCCTCAAGACACAGTGTTCTTATCAATAAGTTTCAGAGACTGTCAGAAAAAAATGACTTAAAAAAACAGACTGCATTTATTTCCTCCTCTACCTTTGCTTGGAAATAGGAGACAATGATTCCATTTAACAGCAGAAAATTTTCTCTCCCATCTAGCTTTTGGAATGGAGTTCATAATAAAAGCTTAGCTGAAGAATTTGGGGAGAGGGGTGGTGAAGAGATAAGGGTAGCAACAATATTTATTTTATAGTCTCTAACCATTAAAGAGGGTGTGTGTGTATCTAGGAGTGTGTGTGTGTATGAGTGTGAGTATATAGCATATATGTGCTTGTATCAGACATAGTGAGAGATGGATAGAACTGACAGCTCTAAAAACATCCCTAAATGGGGCTGGGCACGGTGGCTCACTCCTGTAATCCCAGCACTCTGGGAGGCCGAGGTGGGTGGATCACGAGGTCAGGAGATCGAGACCATCCTGGCTAACATGGTGAAACCCCGTCTCTACTAAAAATACACACACACACACACACACACACACACACACACACACACACACAAACACACAAAAATTAGCTGGGCATGGTGGCGGGTGCCTGTAGTCCCAGCTACTCGGGAGGCTGAGGCAGGAGAATGGCGTGAACCTGGGAGCAGAGGTTGCAGTTGCCACTGCACTCCAGCCTGAGGGACAGAGCGAGACTCCATCTCAAAAAAAAAAAAAAAAAAATCCCTAAGTGTTGACTTCCTACCATCAATATGTTTTTTATTTCGGATTATAAAATTATTTCAGAACTCTAAAGTAGGCACCTTGTGAGAGAGAAGAAAGGAAGAAATTGGTCAGGCAGGCAGTTAGGGTGAATCCTTGGTCGAATTCTTTCAAACAAACAAACAGCCTAAAAAGTCAGGCTGCAGGTACAGATAAGGGAAATTGCACAGAGGGGCTTGCCTAAGACATAGTCATAGCCACACAGATAAGAAAGGCTACACAGGTGATTTGCCCAGACATGCCTGCAATGGAAAATTTTGTTCCCTAACACATGCACAGTAAGGGGAACAAAGCAACATGGAGTAACTCAAGCTAAGAGTCCGCATGCACACTAGGAGGATGGGGTGGAGCTACCAGAAATTTGTGCCTCATGCAAATGAGACACCCAGCCCTCATTGGTTTCTTATAAAAGCCTCTGCATTCAACTATAAAAATGGCAACCCATTCAGGCCCCCCTCTCTGCTGCAGAGAGCTTTCTTCTTTCGCCTATTATACTTTCACTCCAGCCTCACCCTCTGTCCGTACTCCTTATTTCTCTTGGTCCTGAGACAAAGACCTCCAGGTGATACCTCACAATGTGAGACTGCTACATTGTGGTGCATTGGTGAGACTGTAACACTTGCGTTACTCCCAACCTCCATAGGCATTTCCTTCTTTCCCTCATTGCCCACAGAGCCACCACTTCAGCTGTTAACTCAGATCCAATCTATCCTGGCAATGCTAAGAACTATTAAAGTTCTGAAACTTTGCATTAAAATTGGCCTTTCCATTCTTTCATGCATGAAGCTTGACTGTTTTCTAAGACAAGCTTGCCCAATGAACTAAGCTGTGTTATAAAGTATAAAACATTGCAATGAAGTAAGATAACTCTAGATGATATTGCTGAAATAGACAATGTAGTTTTTACCACCCACCCATATCATCACCAGAATTTCAGTCGAGAGGCTCTAGAATCTGTACTCGACAACAGCAACCCTGATGGTAAGTTGTGTTGAATACAGTGAATGTGCAAATAGGCCAAGAATATGTCATGGCTTGCTTGGAAGTGCAATATTACTAATTTGCATATTTTGCAAGTTATCACTGAGATTTGATGATTTGTCCAAGTAAAGTGGTTAAAAATACAAAGATTAATGGGTTCTTAGTCCATTGCATTTTCTGACATTGTCTGTTGACACATCCTAGTATATTTTAATGCTTTTTCACACTTGACATGGCACTACTGTACAATAATTAAGTTCCCATATATTCAGTAATGATTGCTATTTAAACTGATTAGCCATTGATATGTTCATATCAATTCAAAGAAAACTTGTCTTCTCAAATTAAACAAGCCAACAAAAATTTGACATACTTATTTCACTTAATTTTAAGTAGAAGAATAAGAACATACTAAGACAATATTCTTGGCATTGATCAGTGTAAATTCATTTTAAATAATAGTTGAGTTTTATACAGTATGTGTACTTAAGTTTTCTTATATTACCAGAATGAAAAATCAGAATTCATGTGAATAATACTCAATTTACAAAAATGTCCCTGGTAATCCAAAAATAAATTGCAAAATAAATCTGAAGGACATACAACGCAGATTTACTTCATCTCAGGATATTTACCTTGGCTAAGCAGATCAGATAAGTTGATGCTATTTTACTTGTACATAACTCTTAAGATTAAAAAAAAAAGTAATTATTTTTCCCAAAAGCATCCCCTAACTGCTTCCCTTCACTCTTCTAAATTCTCCTGAAGATGCTACTATCTCTCAAGTTTCTATGTAGCCTATTGATGATATCCAAGCTGAATATTCTGACATTTGGGAGACCTGTATATTTGGTTTCCCACCTTGTCATCTACCTCTCCCCAACATGAGCTCTCTTTGAGACGATCTCATCTACTTATACTCTCCTCCAAACAAAATATTCTCAAAATCTCGTTACAAGTCTCTTCAGTCACTGATTCCTTTGCTTTACCTTTGAAAATAAATATTTGGGAAAAAACACAATGCCTGTTTTTTTTTTTCTTTCCATCTGTCTTTTCCCCACATTGGAGTATGAGTCATTCAGAATGATTCCCTTCCACCCTAAGATGCTGCAAATGGTCACCCATTTTATGCCGCCCAACTGTAGGCAACCCTATTCACAATGACCACAATGCAACATGGACATCAGTTTGTTTCCACTAACTTTATAACTTATAATCAACAAATGGCAGAGCAAACACTGGACACACATCCAACACTAGGAAATAAACTTGTGCATCATTTTTAAAAGCAGAAAGTGAGAACAAAATTAATGAAGACAATGTTGACTCTTCACACTTTATCTGCCAAGGTCAGATAACTTTCTTAACTTCAATCTTCAAATGTCCAGTTGCTTTGTATCAAATGGTGCAATGGCAAGCCTGCTTGATAAGCCAAAACACAGAGGGTTTCATGGTTCAATCTTCCCCTTGATGCAAGAAGAATCTGGCAACTGGGAGTTTGGCCTTAATTACCTTCTATTGCAATTATTACTGTCATTTCCCTCATCTTTCTAGACTGCTCATTAGCACTGCTGACAACCTCATGCCAACCTCTTTTGTTTGTTATTGTTGGTCCTGTAAAACAACACAATTTAACTTCTGCTTTCAAATACTCTCGATTATAAAAAAAAAAAAAACCCAGAAAATTGTTTTCAAACGGTTTCTTAATTTGTGCTGTCTGATATTATATTATCTCCCCTGACTCCCAATTCTTTAATCACTCTTTTCTCTGTTCTTCATATTTTTCTGATTAGTTTACTCTTTTCATTCCCCTAATGATCATCCTTTAAGGTTCATATAAAAAAAAACACCCTGTGTTTTCCTCTGTATATGCTGTCTCAGACAATTCATCCAATTATTACACTATCTGATCACCTCTATGTGGAAGATGAACTGAATATATGTTTATCCATATATTCCTGGCCCTGTCTCAAGCTTTGTGCCCACATATTCCACGTTGTACTGAACAAGATTAATTCAATAAAATGCCATCTACTTAGATTAATGTGTCCAAGCAAAACTGTACCCCAGACTGGATTCTTCCTTCTCTGTATCTGTTAACATATTACTAGTCTTCTTCTCACCAAGAATTGAAACCTTAAAGTTATCTTTTTTATTTCCTTTACTAGTGCCCTTAACCCACAAATTCATCATAATCAAAGTAACCCAATAATTTGTTCTAAATTACTTATCATACCTGGCAGTTAAAAAAAAAACTCTTATGCCATTAACACAAGGCATGTCCTTACCACCTTACATCTAGATTCAGATTAAGATAGGAAAACAATTTGTCAGCTATCTCTTTCCAACATGAGCTCTTTTTAAGAGGATCTTATCTACTTATTCTCATTGAAAAAAAAAAACCTCAAAATCTGTTTACAACGCTCTCTAGTCACTGATTCCCTTGCCTTACCTTTCTGTAAAATACATATTTGGGATTTGCCAGTGATTGTGTGTGCCACTGTTAGCTACTTTCACAAACAGGGGGTGTTTTCCTATATTCTCTCTCTTCCAAGATACCCTCAACCCAACTTTTAGATTAATATTAATAAAATGGTAATTTAACCACCTCCTCTTTCCTTTGACAAAATCCCTCCAATAGCTCACTCAATCAAGGACACCTGACTATATTTCTCCACTTCTTTTCAACATAAACTCTACTCCGTCAAAACTACGTCTTTGCTCACTGCTTTGTATATTCTGGTACATTTGTAAACATGGCCATGTATTTTTCCCATTCTCACATGAATGTCACTTTGCAAGGTGAATCGGTAGCTCCTCTAATCAAATTATGGCATCTGTTTCTCCACTTTGTTCTGCAGCAAGCCTTGGCTCATGGAATATTATCAAACATATCAAGCAGAGACTTGAAAAGTAGTTTTGCGTTAGGACTTGTCCACTCTTGCTGCACTTGGAACCTTGAGAACACCCTGTTAATGAGCCCAAGCTAGTATACTGGAGGAGTCTTCTATCTGACTACAGAAACCACTGGACACGTGAATGAGTCCATCCTGCATTACCAGCCACCAGCCAACCACCAGCTGCCCATTATGAATGACCACACATGCATGGGGGACCCTGTAGAAATCAGCAGTAGCAACCTGGACTCGGCCATCCACAAACTCCTGAACTAAATAAATTAGTAGTTTTAAACCAGTAAGTTTGGGCACGGTTTTTTATGTAGCAAAAGTTAATCAAAACTTTTGATTTAATTGCCCCCTATTTGATGTCTTTTTTTAAATTTTTAATTATTTTGGATATATAACAGGTATACATATTTATGGAGTACAGGTGATGTTTTTATACAGGTATACAATGCGTAATGATCAAATCGGGGTCACTGGGGTAACCATTGTCTCAAGCACTTATCATTTCTTTGTGTTAAGGGCATTCCAGTTCCACAATTTCAGTTATTTTTAAACATACAATAAATTATTTTTAACTATAGTTGCCCTATTGTGCTACCAAATACTAGATCTTATTCAGTCCATCTAACTGCGTTTTTGTACCCACTATCTCCTCTTTATCATCTCCCTCCACACTACCCTGCTGGCCTCTGGCAACCATCATCCTATTCTCTACCTTCATAAATTATATTTATTTTTAGCTCCCACATTTGAGTGACAATATGGAATATTTTTCTTTCTGTGCTCAGCTTATTTCACTTAATGTCCTCTAATTCCATCCATGTTGTTGCAAATGACAGGATTCTATTCTGATTTTTTGGCTGAATAATATTCCATTGTGTGTATTACCACATTTTTTAATCCATTCATCCATTGATGGACACTTAGATTGCTTTGATATCTTGGCTATTGTGAATAGTGCTGCAATAATTATAGGATTGCAAATATGTCTTCAATATTATGGTTTTTTTCTTTTGGACACATACCCAGCAGTAGGATTACTGGATCATATCATAGGTCTCTTGTGTTTTTGTTTGTTTGTTTGTTTGTTTGTTTTTTAGGAACTTCTACACTGTACTCCACAGTGGCTATAACAAATTTGCTTTCTCACCAGTAGTGTACCATACAAGGGTCTCCCTCTCTCCACATCCTTGCCGGCATTCATTATTGCCTGTCTTTTTGATAGTAGCCATTTTCATTGGGATGAGATGATACTCATTGTAGTTTTGATTTGCATTTATCTGATGATTAGTGATATTGAGCATTTTTTCACATACTGTTGTCATATGTATGTCTTTGTTTGGGAAATGTCTATTCAGATCTTTTTGCCTATTTTCAAACTGGATTATTTGTTTTTTTACCTATCGAGTTGTTTGAGCTCTTTATATATTCTGGGCATTGATTCCTTGTCAGATGGGTAGTTTACAAACATTTCTCCCATTCTGTGGGTTATCTATTCACTTCATTGATTGTTTCCTTTGCTGTGCAGAAGCTTTTTTAGATTGTTGTGATCCCATTTCTCCATTTTGCTTTGGTTGCCCATGCTTTTGAGGTTTTACTCAAGAAATCTTTGCCCAGACCAATGTCCAGGATGAAAGGTGTCCAACCCTTTTAAAGGGAGGACTTTTTTGCTTATTTGTGGTGGTGAATATCATAAAATTATTCACTAACCTTTTTTTTTTAAGCTCATTGGCTTGTCAGTATTAGTGCATTTTATGTGTGGCCGAAGACAATTATTCTTCCAATGTGGCCCAGGGAAGCCAAAAGGTTGTACACTCATGTCCTGGATTGTCTCACTAAAGTTTTCTTCTGGTAGTTTTAAAGTTTCAGGTCTTAGATTTACGTCATTAATCCACTTTGATTTGATTTTTGTATGCAGTGAAAGATAGGGGCGTAGTTTCACTCTTCTAGATATGGATAAGTTTTCCCAGCCAATTTACTGAAGAGACTGCCCTTTCCCCAGTGTATGTTCTTACCATCTTTGTTGAAAATGAATTAAATGTAAATGCATGCATTTATTTCTGTATTTTATATTCTGTCCTATTGGCCTATGTGTCTGTTTTTATGCCAGTACCCTGCTGTTTGGATTACTATAGCTCCATAGCATAATTTGAAGTCAGGTAATGTAATTCCTCCAACTTAGTTCTTTTTGCTCAGGATAGCTTTGAATATTTTGGGTCTTTTGTGGTTCCATATAAATTTTAGGATTTTAAAAAATTTATTTGAGAAATCTCATTGGTAGTTTGATAGGGATTGCCTTGAATCTATAGATTGCTTTGGGTAGTATAAGCATTGTAACATTTAACATTTTTAACAGTTCTTTTCAATTTGAGTGTCCTATATTTCTTTTTCTTGTCTAATTGCTCTGACTAGGACTTCAAGTACTATGTTGAATAAAAGTGGTGAAAGTGGATAGCCTTCTTGTTTCAGACTTTAAAGAAAGGCCTTTAAGTTTTTCCTCATTCAGTATGATACTAGCTGGGGTTGTATTGTATATGGCTTTTATAGTGTTCTCTCTATTCGCTATTTTTTTTGAGAGGTTTTACCATGAAAGGATGTTGAATTTTGGATCATGTTTTTTATCCTTCATTCCATTGATATAAAGTATCACACTGATGTATTTGCATATACTAATCACTGTGGGATGAATCCCACTTGGTCATGATGAATGATATCTTTAATGTGTTGTTGAATGTGGTTTGCTAATATTTTCTTGAAGATTTTTGTATGTATGTTCATCAGGGGTATTGATAGTTTTCTTTTGTTTGTCATGTCTTTGTCTGGTTTTCGTATTGAGGCAATCCTGGCTTCATAGGATGGATTTAGAAGTATCTCCTCCTCCTTCATTTTTTAGAATAGTTTGAGTAGAATTGGTAATAATTCTTCATTAAATGGTTGGTAGAATTCTGCACTGGAGCTATCAGGTCCCGGGCTTTTCTTTGATGGAAAACTTTCTACTACTGATTCAATCTTGTTACTTGTTATTGGTCTGTTCAAGTTTTGGATTTTTTCATTATTCAAACTTGGTAGGTTGTATGTGTCTAGGAATTTATTAATTTCTTCTAGGTTTTCCAATGTATTTGCATTTATTTATTTATGTGTTGACTCATAATAGTCTCTAATAATCCTTTGAATTTCTGTGTTATTAGTTGTCTCCTTTTTCATCTATGACTTTATTTATTTGGTTCTTTACTTTTTTTTCTTACTCTGGCTATAGGTTTGTTGATTTTGTTTACCATTTCAAAAAACCAACTTTTCATTTTTTTGCCCTTTCACACTTTTTTAAATTTTATTTATTTATGCTCTGATCTTTATTATTTCTCTTCTTCTACTAATTTTGAGTTTGGTTTGCTCTTGCTTTTATAGCTCTTTATGACACATTGTTTCGTTGTCTATTTAAAGTTTTTCTACTTTTTTATGTATGCATTTACTGCTATAAGCTTCCCTGCTTTTGTTGTATCCCGTAAGTTTTGGTATGTTGTGTTTCTATTTTCATTTGTTTCCAAAAATAATACATTTCCTTTTTAATTTTTTCATTGATAAAGTGGTTATTCAGGAGCATATTGTTTATTTCCCGTGTGTTTGTATAGTTTCCACAGTTCCTCTTGTTATTGATTTCTAGTTTTATTTAATTGTGGTCAGAAAAGATACTTGATTTCAATTTTTTAAAAATTGAAATGTATTTTGTATCCTAACATATGATCTTCCCTTAATAATGTTCCCTGAGCTGAGGAGAATGTGTATTCTGCAGCTGTTGAATGAAAGGGTCTATAAATGGCTATTAAGTCCCTTTGGTTTATAATGCAGATTAAGTCTGATGTTTCTTCATTGCTTTTCTGTCTAAATGATCAGCCCAGTGCTGTTAGGGGTGTTGGAAGTCCCTAGCTAGTATTGTATCTGGGTCTGTCCCTCTCTTTATCTCTAATAATATTTACGTTATGTATCTGGTTGCCCCAGCATTGGATCCACACGTATGTACAATTGTTTTATCTTCTTGCTAGATTGACCCTTTTATCATTATATAATGACCTTTTTTGTCTTGTTATCATTTTTGTCTTGAAATCTATTTTGTCTAATATAATATAGTCACTTTTGCTCTTTATCTTTCATTTGCATGGAATATCTTTTCCACCTCCTTATTTTCAGTCTATGTATGTCTTTATAGAAAAAGTGAGTTTCTTGTAGGCACTACATCATTAGGTCTTTTTTATGTATTCACCACTGTTTTGATTGAATAATTTAGTCCATTTGTATTTAGTGCTATTATTGATAAAGACTTACTATTGCCATTTTGTTATTTGTTTTCTCATTGTTTTGTTGTTCCTCTCCTCCTCTCTTTCTCTGCTTGTCTTTCTTTGTTTAAAGGTGATTTTCTCTGGGAGCATGGTTTAATTTCTAACTTTTTATTTTTGCGTATGTATTATAGGTTTTTGTTTTGTGGTCACCATGAGGCTGGCAAATAACATCTTATAACCAATTATTTTAAACTAATGACAGCTCCACTCTGATTACAAAGAAAATACAAAGAAGCAATGAGAAAGGTAGAAAAAAAACCACTGAATTTCTTTTTTTCCTTTCTTTCTTCTTCTTCTTTTTTTTTTTTTTTTTTTTTTTTTTTTTTAAGACAGAGTTTTTCTCTTGTTGCCCAGGCTGGAGTGCAATGGTGTGCTCTTGGCTCACTGAAGCCTCCACCTCCCAGGTTCAAGCAATTCTCCTGCCTCAGCCTCCCGAGTAGCTGGGATTACAAGCATGCGCCACCACGCTGGCTAATTTTGTATTTTTAGTACAGACGGGGTTTCTCCACGTTGGTCAGACTGGTAGCAAACTCCTGATCTCAGGTGATCCACCCGTCTTGGCCTCCCAAAATGCTGGGATTACAGGCGTGAGCCACCACGCCTGGCAAAAAACACTAGATTTCTACTCCATTACCCCTGCTTTGTGACTTTTTTGTTGTTTCTACTTATATCTTTTTATATTGTATTTTTATATTATTTATATATCTTTTATATATCTTAAAAACTTGTGAAGTTATTAATTTTTGATAGTTTTTATACTTCCTACAAAATGTATGAATGGTTTATACACTGCATTTATAGTGCTGCAGCATTCTGTATGTTTCTTACTTTCTTTCTTAATAGTGTACTTATTACTACCAGTAAATTTTACACCTTCAGATGATTTCTCATGGTTCATTAATGTCTTTTTCTTTCAGATCAAGAATTCCCTTCAGCGTTTCTTGTAATACAGTCTGGTTGACAAAATCCCTCAGCTTTTGTTTGTCTGGGAAAGTCTTTATTTCTTCCTCATGCTTGAAACATAATTTTTCTGGGTGTAATATGCTAGGTTGGAAGAATTTTTTTCTTTAGTACTTTTATTATGTTATTCCAGTCTCCCCTGGCCTATAAGGTTTCTGCTGAGAAGTCTGCTGCCAGACCTACTTGAGCTCCTTTACGTGTTGTTGTTGTTGTTGTTGTTGTTGTTTTCTTGCTGCTTTTAGGATCCTTTATCTTTGAGCTTAGAGAGATTGATTATTATATGCCTTGATAATTTGATTATTATGGTGTCTTCTTATTTGGGTTGAATCTTTTTGGTGTTCTATAACCTTCTTACACCTTAATATTCATATCTTTCTCTTGGTTTAAAAAGTTCTCTGTTATTATTTCTTTGATTAAACTTTCTATCCTAATCTCTCTATTTCTGCTTTAGGACCGGTAATTTTTAGATTTTCCCTTTTAAGACTATTTTCTAGATCTCGTAGGTTTGCTTTATTCTTTTTTACTCTTTTCTCCTCTGACTGTGAATTTTTATATAGCCTGTCTTCAAGCTCACTAATACTTCCTTCTGCTCGTTAATTCTGCTCTTGGAAAACTCTGGTGTATTTTTTAGTTGGTCAATTCAATTTTTCAGCTCCAGAATTTCTGTTGAATTTTTATTTTAATTCAATCTCTTTGTTAAATTTTCCTGATAGAATTCTGAATTCCATCTCTGTGTTATCTTGAAGTTCTTTGAGCTTCCTCAAGATAGCTATTTTGAATTCCCAGTCTGAAAGGTCACATATCTTTAACACTCCAGGATTATTCACTGGTGCCTTATTTAGTCCATTTGGTAAGGTCATGTTTTCCTGGATGTTCTTGATGCTTGTGAATGTTGATGAATGTCTAGACGTTGAAGAGTTAGGTGTTTATTCCAGTCTTTGCAGTCTGTGCTTATTTGTACCTGTCATTCTTGAGAGGGCTTTCCACATATTCAAACAGGATTGAGTGTTGTGATCTAAGCTGGTGGTCACTGCAGCCTTATTAGCACTAGGTGAAGGTACCCTAAATCCAGGAATGCTGTGACTCTGGCAGACTTCCTCACTGGACTTTGGCAAAATAAGGGACAATTCTCTGGGTTATCAAGCAAAGTCTCTAGCTCTCTTGTCTCTCCTTCCCCTAATCATAAGGGGTCTCTCTCCATGCTGGGCTACCTGGAGTTGGGGCAGAGGTAACATGAGCAATCCCATGACCACCACAGCTGGCACTATGCTGGGTCAAACCTGAAGCCAGCACAGTACTGGATCTCACCCAAGGCTCATGGTGACTACTGCCTGGCTACTGCTGATATTTATTCAAGGCCAAGGGCTTTTTATTCAGCAGGTGGTCAATCCCTTCAGGGCAGTAGATTCCCTTCTGGCCCAGGATGGGTCTAGAAATGCTGTCCAAGTGCCAAGGTCTGGAAACAGGGGTTTCAGAAACTGCTTTGTGCTTTATTTTACAGTGTCAGAGCTGGTACCCAAGTTGCAAGACAAAGTCTTCTGTACCCTTCCCTCTCCTTTCCTCAAGTGGAAAGATACTCTCCCTAAGCTGCACTGCCTTGATGTAGGCACTTTCTTTATTGACACAGCTGGTGTTGCACCGGGTTGTGAACATGCGAAGTCAGTCCACTGCCTCTGAGACCAAGGCAGCAACAGGGCTTGCCCGAAGACTGCAGTGCCTGTGGACTGATTACCACTGAACATTTTTTTCTGGGTCCTAGGCCACTGTGTTAGAGCCAGCGTATGGTAGCACCAGCCAGGACTCAGATTACTTTTGCTGGTGTTGAGAATTATCTTATGGCCAAGGGCTGGTTTAAATGCTCTCTCCATGGGTGCTGGCAGAATTCTGTCCTGTGTGGTGTTCTGCCATGACAGAGCAATGCTGAGTTCCAATGCAAATTTAATATACTCACTTTACTCTCCCTCCCCCAAGCATACAGATTCTCTCTACATGCAGCCCTGCCTGGGGTTAGGGGAGGTTGGTGTAGGCAATGCAAGACTGTCTTTCCTATCCTCTTCAATCCCTTGTTCCTTGATATTATGTTGAAAGAGGTACTTTGACTGCCTACTTGATGTTTTGTTCTTATGAAGGTGCTTTCTGGCATGGATAGTTGTTCAATTTGGTATTCCTGTGGGGAGAAGATGGCTGGAGGATTCTATTCAGTCATCTTGCTTTACTTCCTCTCTCTCTATTCTATTTGATGTCTTTCTTGAAATACTCTGGCTCCACAATATGCATGCTCACTCTCTTTTTCTTTTATGAGTTCTAATGACATTCTGACTGTACCAGCAATTTCAAGAGATTCTGCTATTTTCTGAAACAATGACTCCAGTGCCTCTTTCGTAGGAACAACAGTTCTATACCACTTATCAAGTACTTAATTGTATACTTTCTTGTTGTTAATGTCTTATAAATCTATTTTCCCCTATAAATAATTAATCTGATTTATCTTCTTAATCTGTTAGTATATCTTCAGAATTTATCAGCATTCTATTGGCAAAGTAGGCTTTCAAGAAATATTTATTTGGCCAGGCATGGTGCCTCATGCCTGTAATCCTAGCACTTTGGATGGCCGAGGCAAGTGGATCACTTGAGGTCAGGACTTTGAGACCATCCTGGCCAACATGTTGAAACCCCATCTCTACTGAAAATATGAACATTAACCAGGCATGGGGGCACACACCTGTAATCTCAGCTACTCAGGAGGCTAAGGCACGAGAATTGCTTGAGCCCAGGAGGCGGAGGTTGCAGTGAGCCGAGATTGCACCACGGCACTCCAGCCTGGAGACAGAGCAAGACTCCACCTCAAAAAAAAAAAAAAAATTCAAATATTCGTTGATTAAATGAAAGTTCCTTTTATAATTAAAAAATATGAAGCAATTTTAATTCAAAAACCAGGTAGATAATTTATATTGCTGAAAAGATATATATTCAACTAAGTGGTACATTTGAGTTGAGTTCTCTTCTCTGCCCTCCTCCGGAGCTCATCTCAGAAACCTGACTTTAGAACTCCCTGCCCAGAAAGATACACAAGAACAAAACCCAAAACCGGGGAAAAAGTAAGACCTCAGCTTGCCCTGAATATATTTTTCTAATCCTTCATAATAAGTAGTAAGATGAAAGTGGCTTATCTTATTTATCTTTCAGCTTTATGTCAAACGTACATTGTGACATGCAAAGGATACACAATGAAACTGAGATTTTTCTTCTCCAGGACCATTAAGTTAGAAATTTCTGGCTTTTATTTTCTAGAGTGCCTACAGCATTTTTACTTCAGTGCTGCATTAAAGTAATTGTTGCATTTAATATGGAATAAAGGCAAAGCTGTCTCACAATGCCCTAACCACAGGTACGTGGGCGAACAGTTGTCTACAGATTATGGCTTGGAAACAGATTCAAAGGAAAGCTAAGAAAGGGAAAACAACTCGATTTGGAATATGAATCAGCCTTGGAATTGGCATGCTTCAGTGAGGATGGTGTATTATTTTTTTCCTGTTTCAGAGATGGTGTCCCAAAGCAATTTCTGTTTCCAAGATATAAGGGGTGTTGCATTCCAGTTTGGAGAGATTTTGAGGGTCTCTGAGAACAGAATTAAAGAAAAACTAGACAGCATAACATATGCATTTTTCGTCAATGTGCTAGTAAAGGTAAATGTTTGATATAATAATCATCTCCATGTATTTTATCTTCTATTCACTTGACAACTTTTATACCTTAAAATCCTCACCCATGAGAGTCCAGAAATAGGTAATATTAACTGTAGTATCCAAAGAAAAATGTAATAGTTTTAGTCCTTTTGTGATTACTCATGATGGCTCTATGTATGGCTTGTTTTTCCTTTTTATGTTTAATAGGCTTTATATATTTTTCAGGGCAAACAAAATGATAATGCAGCTTTCCTTGTTTTGGGGGTTTCTGATTCAATTCAGGCTACACATAATAGTTCTGTGAAATTTCCTTTCTGCTGCAAAAGCTACAATCCTCTCTGGTAAGTGGTAGAAATAAATTCCCAGTTAAGTAGGCATGGGGTAGGCAAAGAAGAAGAAGCATCAGAGAAGTTGAGGTTGAAATAAATTAAAGAAGTCAGGTTCTTTCGTTTTTTTTTTAGTTTTAAGCCTGAAGACACTGTTTTTCTCATTCAATACCACACTCCATTCTTTTGTGGATCAAGACATGACTGTGCTAAAAATGCAAAGCAATGAGATGTTGCTTCAATGGTAAATAGACAATAAAATTGTGGTATATTCACACAACAGAATACTACTTAGTGATAAAAGAGAAATGAGTGATCAAGCTATGTGAAGACATGGATGAATCTTAAATGCATATTGCTAAGTGAAAGACATCTGTCTGAAAGTCTACATATCGTATAATTCCAGTTAAGTGACATTATGGAAAAGGCAAGCTATAAAGACTTTAAAATGATTAGTGGCTGCTAGGGATTCGGGGGATGTGAGTAGGTAAAGTATGAATGATTTTAGGATAGTGAAACTATTCTGTATGATACTGTAATCGTGGATACATGATATTATAAATTTCTTAAAATTCATAGAACTTTACAGCACAAAAAGTGAAACTTAATGTGTGCAAATTTTTAAAAAATTACTTATAAGACTGAGAATACCAGGAAGGAACATAGAAAATGAAAAAAAAATCTAACTTTGTTACTGCCTCCCTGTATGAAATTACATCATTGAAGAGGGTGGGGAGGAAACATAATGATCTAGGTAACTTTGGAAGTTGATAAAGCTGCTTCCCAGGAGGGGACAGGTTAACAATTCTCAAACCACTATATATGTATACTGGAATTGAAAGAAAAAAGATGGAAGGCAGATGGTAGAAGCAAGGTTTCTTACTGTTGGAGTGAGAGTCTACAGATAACCACAAATAAGAGGCTAGGATGATCCATGTAGCAATATATTAAGAGTTAGAAGCATAAAGAAAGAAATATTTACAGGTTTGTATTTTGTATTAGCCCATTTTCATGCTGCCGATAAAGACATACCTGAGACTGGGAAGAAAAAGAGGTTTAATGTACCACAGTTCCATGTGGCCAGGGAGGCTTCACAATCATGGTGGAAGGCAAGGAGGAGCAAGTCACATCTTATACGGATGGCATTAGGCAAAGAGAGAGAGGTTGTGCAAGGAAACTCCCCCTTATAAAACGATCAGACCTTGTGAGACTTATTCACTATCACAAGAACAGCATGGGAAAGACCTGCCCCCATGATTCAATTACCTCTCACTGGGTACCTCCCACAACATGTGGGAATTCAATATGAAATTTGGGTGGGGACACAGCCAAACCCTATCATGTATATATGTTGGTTAGCTAGTGGGCACACATATTTCTTTGTCTTGTAAGTTGAGAGGGTTAGAAATAGGGTACTCTATAATAAGCAGCACATGTGACACAGAAATCTTGGTTTCTAATACTATTTTGCAATAAAGGGAACCTGGGATTTTGGATAAATGGCTAATTCATTTATCCAGGACATATATAAAATAAGCCTGGAGCATCATGTAGTGCTAGACAGTGAAGAAGTGCTAAATACACACATAAACACAGATGGGATTATGTTAAAGGGGCAAGGTATGCAAGTGAAGGAGTTCAAAGCTGGAACAATTTGAGCAGCAGAATAAACAAAGTAATGTTGCATTATAACCTGAAGTAAAAAAATAAATAACTATGAGTTCACATTGATATAAATAAACAATTGTATATACAAATGAGAGAGAAGAGACTATAATGGTCAGTTGAATGTTTTAACTTTGTTTGGTCATAGTGCCTACTTATTCAATTAAACACTAATCTAGGTGTTACTGTGAAGATACGTTATAGATGTAGTTAATATCTACAATCAGTTGATGATCAGTAAAGGAGTAATAATCACCTTTACTTAGGAGATTATCCTTGATAATCTGGATGGTTTCATTCAATGAATTGAAGTATCTTAAAAGAAAAACTGAGGTTTCCTGGAACAAGGAGAAATTCTAATTTTGGACTCCCTGGGCTGCAGTATCAGCTCTTGTATGAGAACTTCCAGCATGGCTGCCTGTCCTATACAAATCTGAGACTTGCCAGCCCCCATAATCACACAGGCCATGTCTGCCTGCCTGTTTGTCTATCTATCTATCTATCTACCTACCCGGATAATCCTATTGGTTCTGCTTTTCTAGTAGAACCTTAAAATCCCCCATGCAGAACAATTCCAAATAATATTTAGATACTTCACCCTTAAGGAGGTGGAATATAACCCCCCATATTTAAAGTGTGGGCTGCAGATTGTGACATTCTTCAAAAAGAATATAATATGAAAAAAGGGAGCAAAAACAGTAATTTTATAATGGAGAAACATGACAAATACTACCTTAGGCAAGGTCAACAATAACATTGCTAAGTCACTGATAATATGTGCCCTTAACATTATGATGAAAATCCCCTTTACTTTTGTGATCCTCCTCTCAGAAATACATAACCTCAGTCTAATCATAAGAAAAATCAGACAAATTCCAGTTAAGGGACATTTCACAAAATACTGACCAATAACTCTTAAAAGAAACAAAGTAATCCAAGAAGGGAATATCTGAAAAACTGCCACAACCAAGAGGAGCCTGAAAAGATATGATTAAATGTAATGAACTGTGGATGGGATTTTGGAAGAGAAAAAGAACATTAAGTAAAAACTAAGAAAATATGAATAAAGTATGAATTTAATAATGTGTCAATATTGGTTTATAAATCATAACAAATGTATCATACTAATGTAACATTAATTGTGTGGAAAATGTAGTGGGAACTTTCTTTGCAATTTTTCTGTAAATCTAAAACTGTTCTTTAAAAACTTTATTTAAAGATATTGTACACTGATTTTGTTATGTTTTGCTCTAGACTGAAAAAAAGAATCTAGAAGCTTACAATCTAGTGAAAAGGACACAGGTAGAACAGTAAAGTTTATTGAGATTTTAATATATACCTGTCACTACACTAGGTACTTTTTAAATAACATTTGATTCAATGTTGCACATTATTACGTCCCTTTTGCAGATGAGGAAAATGAGTCTAAATTAAATCATATAATTTTCTGAAGGATAAATAACCATTCTGAGACCCCAAATCTGTATGATTCAAAGCCCAAACCCCTTGTGCTGCAGAGTTCCCATCACCTAATTAGATAGGATAGGTACTCAGACCATGGAATTCAAGATAGCTGGCATTATGTGACATGAGTGCTACTGAACTGAAAACAACAGTGCTATTGATATTTGAGGAGGGAGCAATCTACTATTTGAACAGGTGAGGCTTTATACTCAAAGGGGTTTTTAGACTGGATAGGTGAGCATGATTTTTGTTTGTTTGTTTTTTTAAAGAAAAGAAAGTCGTTTCATGAGAAGGAAGCAGAAGGAAGCAAAGGCATACAGCTGAAACCCCATGAAATAGGGTCTGGGAATTACAGTTCGTTCAGTTTCGATAGAGGGTAGTGTGTATCTACAAGAATACTGAGACAAAACCAGTGAAAGAAAGTTCTTTTCCTTCACTGTCCCTCATCCCTGAAATTTAGACTGAGCCTCAGCAAACATAAAATAGAGATTCCTTGATCCCTCGGTGAACATAATCAGATCCTTTGTGAAAGACCTGGTAGAAGTGCTAAGAAAACATATGCACCAAACAAAACCTGAATACATTGAGTTTTTCCCCATTAGGAGAAAAGTGAAAGTGGTTATTTATTGAACCTCATTATTGTCAGGCTTATGCCAGCTACTTTCAAATTCATCTGGCAAGTACTTATTCTAAGCAAGCACTATTTTAGGCAATGAGAACCCAATGACATAGTCTCTTCTCTTTCTCATTGCATTGTGATGATTTGTTTACATGTCTACCTTCCTGCTAGATTATGAATTCTTTAAGAACATGGAAAATATCACCAAGGGAGGCAGCTTCCTTTTCTGATACTTAAAACACCAGCCCCTTCTATTATTTAGACCTGAAAGAGGCTGAAAAAGTTATTAGTTTACAGAGAATTTTTTTTTTCTCTTTTACCTTAAAACACAGTTTTTCAGTCTTGGACTAATTATCACTACTGACAAATTATTCCTGTGGCCAAGTTTTCTTGGCGTGGGAATGTAAAAAAATTGGATTTGAAGAGAATTTTGGAAAAGTAGAGAGAGAATGTGTTAGCCTTGCATTTTCTTCTCTTGAAAACCACAGAGAACTGTGTAATTTTTCATTTACTGAAAAAATATTCTATTCCATCTACTGTGTATTAGGAACTATGCTTCATGCTATTGTCTCATTGATGAAGAGGCACTTGTTCTGGCTTCAGGAAGAGTGAAGTCTAGTACAAAACAGACACATGAATAAACAGATATAATGGCAATCAATCATTCAATCAATCAACTTTTTAACTGAGCATGTACTATGTGCCAATCAGTAGCTGAGGCAATGAGAATGCTTTAGTTAACTAACTGACTCAATCTTTCCTTACAGAGGTTAGAGTGTAGTGGGGAGCTATATACATATAGAATTATATTAGACTCTGCACCAGTGCTTCACAACTTCAAAACTATTGACATACTGAGCTGAATAATTCTTTGCTCATTTTAGGACATTTAGCAGCATTCCTGGTCTCCACCCTACTAGAAGCAAGTAGCACCCCTCCCTCCATCCCCTGCAGTGGTAACAAAGATAGTTCACACATTGCAAAGTGCCTCTGGGAGGAATACTGCCTTAAATTAAAAACTCTAGCTCTGTAATATGTAGTGTCAAAAGATCCTGGAACCAAGGAATTTAACCTAACCCCAGGGGTCAGGGCCCGCTTTCTTGAGGAAGAAACATTTGGGTTAAGAGTTGAATGTGAGAGATTTAATTAGGCCAAGAAGTAGCAGGAGAGTCTACTCTTGTAACCAGGCTATCAGCAAGAACCTTCGTGCCTTTGCTCTAAATATAAACCTTCCTCCCCATACCTCTTTCCTCTCATCTGGGCCCTTTACACATTGTACTTGCTGTGAAATTCAGCCCTTCCTTGATGCTTCCTGAATTCTTCACCAACTCCCTCCAACACACCTACCATGTACATAAGACAGCATGCAGCAACATTTCTTGAAGATGTCAGGAGGAGGCAGAGGAGAGGTTAAACATTTAGCAGGTCTGGCCAGGTGCGGTGGCTCACACCTGTAATCCCAGCACTTTGGGAGGCCGAGGCGGGTGGATCACCTGAGGTTAGGAGTTCACGACCAGCCTGGCCAACATGGTGAAACCCCGTCACTACTAAAAATACAAAAATCAGCCAGGTGTGGTGGCAAGCACCTGTAATCCTAGCTACTCGGGAGGGTGAGGCAGGAGAATTGGTTTGAACATGGGAGGCAGAGGTTGTAGTGAGCCGAGATTGTGCAACTGCACTCCAGCCTGGGTGACAGAGTGAGACTCCATCTCAAAAAAAAAAAAAAAAAAAAAAGCAAAACAAACAAACAACAACAACAAAAAAAACATTTAGCAGGTCTGTACATAAATGTCCTTCAAACGCCTCTATACAAGTTTATGTTCACTGGGCCATCATCCAGAAACTCCTTAATCTCACACTCACTAATTTTTCCTCTCTTTCTTGTAGGACCCAGTTTAAATTAAAACCCCAATTTCTCACATAGAAAAACTGTACTGACCCTTTGTTACTTGGGTTCCTACTGGCATCTTGACACTCAATGTTTCTACTTCTATTGAGAGTAGCTTACTAAGTTTATTAATTAATTGATTAATTTGAATAAAGATTATGTGTGAACCAAACTCTGGTGTCAACTCTTAATAATACTTTACCTTTCTATGCTGTTGTAGAGTCATTTGAAGGATATGAAGAAAGAAAACATGAAGGAAAGCATACCTATGTTGGTTTGTTAGACAAAGAAAAAAATTCACAAAGTATTGAAAGAGAATCTTGAAAAAGAGACAATTATTTGTCACCATGAGGAAGAAGGTTGGAGACACAAACAGGCACGTATCAGTACCCGAGTGGGAACTAACCAGTGTAACTTGAGCACAACATTGGAGGAATCAATAGGAAATGAGACTGGAGGGGACAAAGCGAGGACTAGGAAGAGAGAAGGGTAGCAAGGTAATGTTATAAATGACTCACTCTTAATAGGAACATGTATTGTATAGGTAATGTGGGACTCATAGGATTTTAAACTAGTTGAAGAAATTAAACAAGTTCTCATTTTAGAGGAAAAATTAAATCACTAACAGAGTTTGCCACCTGGTGTCAGGGAGGCCAGATAGGAAGTTAGTGCAATGAATAATACAAGTAATACAAGGGAGATAATGAGCCTGAATTTAAAGGGGAGTTCATGGTTTTATTAGAATAATAAAAACAAGAGGCAAGAAAGAGCTAGCATCTATTGAGTACCCTGTGCCAAGCACTACAGCACTTTATACTTCCTAACCAGTTCAGTCTACCAACAAATTCTATGATATCATTGCCAATGTTATCATCATTTTACAGAGATATTTCCTAATTTGACTGAGATTGCACAGCTAAGAAAAGGCAGAACCATGATGTCAACCCAAGCCGGATTTTAACTCATGTCATCCAACATGTGCTGTATTAACTACTATACAACGGAGCCAGATTTCGTTAGGGAGCAAAAACCCGGGGCTAGAGGTTAATAGGAATTTTTATGAATGCAGTCTCAAAAATTCTTAGGCAATACCTACAAAAGAGATATAAATGAAAGGTAAGTTCTTGTTATATTTTTAATATATATTTTGCTAGGGCTTGGCAAATAAAGAGACTTAGATATGACAGCAAGAGAGAGGGAAACATCTGGATTGACTCCACAGTTTTTGTTTGACTTGAAACATTATCCTGCCAGGAAAAGAATTGTGGAAAGAATGTTGAGGGGACAATATACTGGGGGCTAGTTGTTAAGTTTAGATTTAAAAAGGTGATCTTGAGGCACTTGAGTGCATTCCAACTGGAAATATCTAGTAGACATTTGAATGTATGAATCTAGGTTTCCATAAAAATCTTCAGTTGAAGATTGGAGGAAACGTAAGTAAAATCACTAATGAACAAATCACAAATGGCTTTAAAAAAAAGGATGTAATGATTATTTCTCTACCTGGAGACCAAATATGTGGGTATGTATGTGGGGATACATATATAATCTCCAAATTTTGCCCTTCAAATCTATTAATGCACAGTCTTCCTCATCTTAGTAAATAACAACTTCACCTCTTTAGCTTTCTACAAGATATTCTAGCCTGAAAACTTGGAGCCATTCTTGATGTCTCCTCTTCTCTCAAACCACATCCAATCTATTAGCAAATCTCCTTACTTTACCTTAAAAATATATCTAAAATTAGACTTGCTATTACTGTTATCCAAGCCTATCCTTTGGGTTATTTTAATGGCCTTTTAATGGTCATCTCTGTTTCTTTCCTTGATGTACCTACCACAGTATACTGTCAACACAGGAACCAGTGATATTTGTAACATGTAAGGCATACATGGTCAATTAATGGTCAGCCAAGTCACTGAGCCAACGCAGTAAGGAAAAAGAAAGTCTTTTTAACATATGGATATATATATGGGATAAAAATCCTCAATCTTTTCCTAACTTAATATACAAAAATTAATTTGAGACAGATCATAAACCTAAATATAAAAGCTAATACTATAAAGCTTCTAGAAGAAAACGGAGAAGAATAGCTTTAAAAGCTTGTGAAAATTGATTGAACAGGGCACAAGTACTACTGAACAGAATAAAAATATAAACTTCATCAAAAGCAGAAATTTCTGCTCTTTAACAGACTCCTTTAAGAAAATGTAATAGGCAAAAACTACAAACTGGGAAAAAGTACTTGTACTACATACACCTGAAAACAGAACTTCTTATGAGAATATATAAAGAACTTCCACAAATCAACAATACAAAGACTGGCTACTCATTTACAAAATGGACAAAACATTTGAACAGGTGCATCACAAAGAAGACATGGCCAATAAGCACAGCAAAGGTGTGCACTAGCATTAGCTCTCAGAGAAATGCAAATTAAAACAACAAAAACCATTTACACCTACCTGTATGGCCTGTGTGGCTAAGATAAAAAAAAAAAAAAAAGAAAAAAAGAGAAAAAGCACAGTAATACCAGTAGAGAACAACCACAACTTTTTACAATGCTAGTGGGTGTTTAAAATGACACAACTACTTTGAAGAACTATTTAGCATATTGCTATAAAGTTGAACATACATCTACCCTATGATCCAGCATGACAGCTAGGTAAATACTCAAAAGAATTAAAAACATATGTTCTCAAAAAGACATGATGGCAGCCTTATTTATAACAGCTTCAAACCCCAAATCACCCAAATATCCACCAACAGGAAAATGAATACATGAAAATATAAATAAATTAACATTAGAATACTACACAGCAATAAAAAGAAATGAACTGTTAATTTATGTAAAAACAAGGATGAATTTCATAAACATATGTTGCACAAAAGATGCCAGACACAAAAGAGTACATACTACATCGTTCCATTTATATAAAGCTTAAGAACAGAAAAAGGGAGGAACTGAATGGAAAAGGCATAAGGAAATTTTCTGGTGTGATGAAAATGTTCTGTATCTTGTTCTGGATGGTCATTACATGGTGTATATAAACATATAATTGTCAAGAATTTTAGACCCGATCATTTAAGACCAGTATATTTTATTGTTCATAAAGAATACTTCAAAAATTAAAAAGAAATAAAATAAAAATGCAAGCCAAATCATGTCAGTTCTGTAAGAAAATCATTATTTTTAAAAAGGCTTTCAAAGTCTAAACATGATCCTCCTTCCCTCCCCCCTAATCTGTCACTTTCAGACCTATCTCTGAAGGGAGTGCATACCCCACTCCTTCCTTCATTCTGTTCCAGCCAAACTGGCCTTCCTTCTGTTCCTTGAATATGCCAAACGAAGTCGCACTTCATATCCTCTGTTCCCCTCCCCTGGAAAGTCCTCTAGAGTTTCGTAATTTGCTCAATTGCTTCCTTTAGTGTCTGCCAAAATGTCATCTTATGAAACCTCTCCTAACAAATCTACTAAAACATAACCCCAAACACACACATGCACACATGCATGCAAATCCACATACCTACACACATTAATTTACACACATGCAACACCACCACAATTCTATTCCCCTTAACCGATCTGTTTTTCTCTGCAGCACTTAACACCACACAACTTACTATAAAATACACCTATTTATTCTATACCAAATATCTCCACTAAGTTGAATGAGTACTTATTAGAACAGAGCTTTTGTAATTATACTATTTATTTCCCAGTACTTAGATCAGTGCTGTTTTGCTATGGACAAAGTTGTGTCCCTCCAAAATTCATATGTTGACATCCTCACTCCCAATGTGATAGTAATAGACGTGGGCCTTTGGGAGGTAATTACATAATCAAGATGGAGTTCTCATGAATAGGATTAGTGGCCTTACAAAAAGACATAAGAGAGCCTGTAATCCCAGCATTTCGGGAAGCCAAGGCAGGTGTATCACCTGAGGTCAGGAGTTTGAGATCAGCCTGACCAACATGGTGAAACTCTGTCTCTACTAAAAATACAAAAATTAGCTGGGCGTGGTGTCGCGGAGGACTGTAATCCCAGCTACTAAGGAGGCTGAGGTAGGAGAATCACTTAAACCTAGGAAGTGGAAGCTACAGTGGACCTAGATCACACCATTGCACTCCAGCCTGGGCAACAGAGTAAGACTCTGTCACACACACACAAAAAAGACACAAGATAACTTGCTTCTCTCTCTGTTCTTCACCATGTGGGAATACAATGAGAAGAGGCTATCTGTGGAACAGGAAGTCCACCCTCATCAGATATGACTTGCTGGCACCTTGATCTTAGACTTTACAGCCTCTCAGACTATGAGAAATAAATTTCTATTATTTATAAGCTACTCAGTCTATAGTACTTTGTTATAGCAGCCCAAACTAAGACAAGTATATAATAAGCTCTTGGTAACTATTTATTGAGTAAACATTATTTTATAGAGATAATTTGTCATGAAATCTGAAAACAATAAAAGTTATGGCCAAGGAACAAAATGAGTATATAAAAATATAAGCAACTATGTAAATGTGAAATTAGTAATAGGGCAGCTAAAATTCTGCAAGTCTGTGACTCAGGTGGTCACAGCCTAAAGATTTGAATAAACTAAACTCATGCACATTTACAACTATTCTAGTTGGAGAAACACATTACTTCATCGAAGCCTTGCATATGATTGTGTTCAATATTATTGAAAGGCCTGTTAATTGTATCCTAATGAATGAAGAAATAGTAAAGCATGCAGGACTACTGAGGGAAGGTGTTTTATTTTTTAATACATTCAAGTTTATTTCATGTTCATAAAATGATGATATAATAATGATAATTTTAATGAAATAAAACATTTTGTATCTGAAGAGAAAGTACATTTAAGTCTATATAGGGTTTTACTTTATAAATAATGATGTACTAATTTAATTATCCAAATTAAATTATAATTGTTAAAGTATAGTTAATCCCTCTTTTTTCTTTGAGAATTTAGCAAGAAGTCTGTTCCCTTCACCTCAGTTGTACTTCGGAATGGGCAAAATAATCAGGCGAAGCAAAGATAGAGATTAAAATGAAAGAAAGGCTCTTAGGAAGATGACAGATATGAAACTGGAATTTGAGAAAGAAGGCAAATGTTATTGTAAAAACATTTTAAGGAAATGCTGTGAAACAACTTAAACAAAAGTAATTCTTTCATATTCTTCTAGTTTATTCAACAACCAAAAATAAAAACTAGACCAAAAATTGTAAGGAGTGGGTTAGAAATTTTGTAGATATAGTAGGAGGCAAGAGGTAGTCACTGAAACACACTATTTTGAACAGTCTAAAGCTTACCAAAAAAAGAGGGGTAGGTGACCTGCCAAGTGTTACACTAACATAAGCTTTACCTGTGGCTGTCCTATATTCTACAGTCAAAAAGCAGGGAGAAGAAAGGTCTATGTCAACTAGCTTCTGAAGTAAAAATTGTTACTGAAAATTATTGTGCATTCTAGGACCTGAATGCATGAGACTTACCACTCCCCATTACACATTTCATAATGCAATCTAGTTGCAAGGTGCTGATTCTTACTTTTAAGTTTAAAATTCAAATAAAGTCACATTATATGCCATATACAGGACACTAAATGTCCTCAGATTTTAAAGAGAAATAATTATTACATCTTACAAACATTCAGGTAGATTTTAAGTACAAATATATATGCACAGAGAGAGAGAGAGAGAGAGAGAGAGAGAGAGAGAGAGAGAGAGAGAAGACTAATGGCATAGAACAGCCACAAATATAAAAAGGAGGAAGGAGACTAACATTTAATGAGTGCCTTCTATGTGCCTGACACAGTTCTGACCTGTAGTTGCAGCATCTCACTTGGTATATAAAGAAAAACCTACAGCTATTTCTGGGATCTTGGCCACAGAACCTCCTTATAGGTAAGAACATCTTTCTTTAAGTTGCTATTGATGTTTTTATAACTAATCTACTTTAGCTAGGGCCATAGATTTGATTATCCTTTCTGTTGTGAACTGTGATGAGGAAAAGTTCTAGGACATGCTTTATAAACACCTCAAAAACCACACTTGATGGCACCTTCTGATGTGGCATAATTCTTCTAAGAAGATCACATTCTTTATAAGTCTTTATCCCTAGGAAAAGTACTACTCTATAAAAAATCTGACACAGAATTTGTCTTTTTTCCCAAAGTGAGAGAGTAGAACAAGTAAGTCATCTGGTGGGTAGCTTTTGCTTTTCCTGACTTTCAAGCCAGAATCAATGAACTGACAAGTAACACTTGGCATACAGACTTGGAAGAGAAGGTAGATTTAGGATTTAGAAAGCAGAGAAAGTCTTGTAAAATCCATGCCTGAGGAGAAGTTTAATTTAGAATAAATGAAAGAAGTACAGCCCAATCTGAAGAAAAAGGAATGGGAAAAGATCTGAAACAGATACTCCTATCCTCATGGGTCTCTTAGTCTTGAGCTTGGATGTTATTAGTCAAAGGAAAGAGCCCTGGGAAAATTAGCCATGAAAGATATAAATAAGTATGAGGAGAAAACACATGTTTTGGCATGGGGGAAAATAAAATAATACTGAGTGGAGGGTGGAGGGCTGGTTAAGAAGAGCAGAGTAGTCATGGAAAGTCAGGGCAATAATAGTCTGTTCATGTTGAAAGCAGGGTGTACATTCAGGATACTGAAAAAGGTAAGGAAACTCTTAGGGTATAAGTGGGATGTGACTGGAACCAAAAAGTGTAAACTACCTACATATAATGGTGCTGGAATTTTAAAAAATTTTCCTACTATTTTCTGAGTGATCGAGTCAGAGTCATAATATCATTACATGAGCTGGCATTCATACTTTAAGGAAGAATTGCTTAATGGAGCTCTTCTCTTTTGTAGTTATACTATAATTAAGTACCATAAAATAAATAGACTATTATGCAGTCTTCACTTTTTGCCTATTTAAAGCTGGTAAATTATGAGGTCTTGTGTTTTAGCCAATGACTACATACACACTGGTGCTCAATAAATACCTAGATGTCAAATGATTTGACACCTAGGCAATGGCAAAAGTTTCACAGTATAGTAAAATTATTACTAACATAATTTAAAATGCTTCATTTTCCAGGTTGGTAGAACATATCAAGAGAAATAACTTGAGCTGAAAAAGAATGCAAAGTTTATTCTAACTAGAGAAAGTATTAAATATTAGCAAAGAACTTAAAAATCTCAGAATCAGTTCTGCTCTATTTGACTCTACCATTGTAAAGAGTTCTATGTATATTCTTTTTTTTTTTTTTTTTTTAAGTGTAAGTATGGACTTTATTTTTTTAAAAAAAAGTCTTTTGAGAACTACAAATTACAAAGTAAAAGCAGATCACTACGTAGAAATCTAGTGAATACATTTTGCCTGTGCATGAAAAACTTTATCAAAGTTACTCATTTTAACAAATTCACCCCATTCACAACAATCAGTTATAATGTTCTTTTTAAGGTTACTATACCTTTATTTCAAATTATATTACATGTTATTCCCGCAAAATGAACTTTTAAATGACAAACTTTTGGCTCATAAGAATGGCACCTTCAAAAGGGGCGATTTCCACTCAGTCTCTGGTGGCATTATTCCAGGCTAGTTTCACCAGTTAAAAACCTTCAAAATGTTCACTTTTAACACAAAGTCTTCCCATAAAAAATGTGGCTACATTTTCCCCCCAATGACTACATACATAGATGGGTAGCAGCAAGAAAAGATGAAAATGAAAAGGCAGCCATTAAAATAAATGGATCAATTGTATACCAAGAAGTATTTGGCTCATGGCAATTAAAAAATGGCAACTAGGGTATGTTAATAGCCAGAGGCTTGAGTCATTACTGAGTATGTTAAGAGAACGAAGCCAGTCCAGTATGACCGAGTAGGAATATATAATTGTCATTGCACTTCATTTGTTATAGCAAATACTCTAAGCCAATAGGAAATCTAAGCTATATCTAGATTCCCAATTAGAACATGCTGACCTTTAACATTTTCAACAATTTTTACTGGGTTTAGTACATCAGTCATTTTCTTTACTCAAACTCCATTACGAGTTCTTTCCTATCAATCTAAGTGTATTCTGTGCATAAAATACCTTAAATGTTAAGACTTTTCTAAGGTTCATTTGAAAATGGTTGTATGAAAAGAATACCCATTTGTTTTGCCTGGAAAGATACAAACTAAATGCAGAAGTTTCTCAAGGGGAAAAAGCTCAACTTTCTTCTTCCCACCACCTCTGCCACATTATGATTTCCTAAACTTTTCAAGTCTGTTCTCCATGGCTTCTCTAAGGATGAAAACCAGAGACCAAACAATTGAGCTTTAGGATATCTGGAGTTAAAAATGCAAAACAAAACAAAACAAAACAAAACAAAAAGTTAACATGCAAGCAATGGTCCACGTACTCAAGATTCATGTTAAATGAATTCGATTATTACATATGGGTTTTTCATTGATGAGCAGGGCTCCGGGCATGCCATATTATCTCACAAATCATTGCCTTTTGAGACTCTGGATACTTTTCCAGTTTAATTTGCAAACAGAATTTTTATAACAAATTATTTTTTAACCAAATCATATCCTTAAAACTGTTTATAGAAAACCCAGGGAATAAAGTGAACTGTTCATTGTGGAAGGCCTTAAATTACATTATTACAGTAGAAAATACAGGAGGTAGAAGATAACTGAAAAGACTAATGCAACATTAGATTCAAATCTATAGCTCCTGTAGCTACTTAAAACATGGTTTTAGAAACTAAACCCAACATTTCCAGCAACCATAGAAACAGTTAAAATAAAATTTGCCATGAAAGCCCTTATATCATGCTTGATACAGGGAGGTAGGAAGATGTAAGAACCAGGACACATGAGACATGACATTTTATCTACAACTCCTGTTTGCTTTACTGAGGGTGTAGTTTCAAAATTCAGTCACCTTCTTCAGCTTCAGATTCAGATTCTTCTTCAGCATTTTTGAGCCATTCTACAAACTTTTTCATTTGCTCAAGGAAAACACTCTTCCCCTTTGCAACATGTGCATCTTTATACCACTTCAAAATGGGCTCCTCGCTCAGGACTTCAGCTTTATAAAAAAGCACCACTATTTTCTGGAAGGCTTTCATGAAATGAATGTTGTCATAGCAATACTCCTGAATCTTCAGTAACAGAGTCAGCTCAGACTGACCTTGAGTAGTAAAGGCAGCAAGTAGAGGGCTGTATTGCTTCAAGTGCTTGATGGCTTGCTCTGCTACAAGCTCCTCTTTTTTGTTCCATTCCACAGTGCTCATTACACTTGACCAGACTATTCCGATGACAACTGGCTCTGGGATGTTGTTTTTTTTCATCTCCTCCTTGACATATAAAATTATATCCTTAAATGGATCACCACGGGACATCTGTTCTTGAAGTTCTTTCTGGAGCTCCTTACGAGCTCCGATGGTTTGCTGATTCCGAACATATTCTGAAAGCTCTTTCAAGCCTGCCTCAGTAAAATATTTTGTGAAGTGTTCAACACTTTGCTTATTGGCAGGAAAGAGTTCCATCAGTCTGTTATCCATGCTGACTTTCCGAAGACTTGCAGCTACTGCATTGATATCTTTTTCATTTATCCATGATTTAAAGAGCTTCACAGCAAAAGCTGCTGAAACTCCTTCTTTAACCAAATTTTCATTATAAAGGCTATTAAGAATGGATGCATTAAGTGTTCCATTAGCCAGAAGAACACCAGTCAACATAGCTAGCTTGTTCCTCTCCGAGTTCTATGTATATTCTTACAGACCAAAAGGAAAGATTATCTGTCATGTAGGATACAAATCATGCTTACTCAGGAATGTTGTCTTAATAGTAAATCAGTAGAAATTGCTGCCTAGAAAAAGATATTATTCATTTTCAACAAGCTATCAATTGCAGGTAAGAACATATTTGTCTTATTAATATGTATAGTACAAGTGTAATTCACCTCACCAAAGTATTTATGTCCTGCCCTAAACAAAAAGGGCATCCTTATCACATCCTTTCTGTTTAAAACACCATTTTTGGTTTCTTCATTACTTGTCTGGTCACCAAACCCATCCACCCATCCCTTATACTAATCAACTCTGAGTTTACATTGCCAGAGTGTTAGACCTTCTAAGTCTAACACCCTGGCCCATTTGTACCTAGATATATTACTCCTAATCTATTTTTTCACATGTCAACCCACTAAAGTTTATGTCTCCTTTCTTCCTTGGTAAGAATGAAATCTCAGGTTATGATGAATAGATCCAGGCTAAGCTATTAGGATCTGATAATGGAAGCTAATGCCACCCCTCTTAATTTTTTCAATAGGGAACATTTCCTTAACTGAAAGATGGAATTATAGGCAACTTTGCAAAAAAGTGCAGAACACTTTTTATTGCAGAAATTTATGAAAGAATATGTTCTTTCTCAAAGAAGGTACTTAAGGAACTGGGGGTGTATCTCAAAGTGAAAGAGAGTCCAGTTATAAATTTGGGGCATAAAATATTTCTAACGAGTAGTGAAGGCAATGGTAGTTGTGCTTCAATGTGACGTATTCTGTATCAACTTTGAAAGTAAACTCAGTGGTCATTCAGTTTAACCATTTTTGGTCTGAAATACTGGGTTTCTTCCTACATCTGTAAGCTAACTTATTAATGCATTAGTCCAAATATTTTTGCAGTTTTCTCATAGAAATGCACCCCAACAAGTGTTATTACTCTATAGTGTGAATAAAAGATATAGCAAGAGTAGATAATCTACTACAATTCTACTTTATCTTTTATCTGGCATCCCTGGCTATTTTCATTCATTCACTCATTTATTTATTCAATGGGCACTGACATCTCATTATATATTCAACATAGAGCTTTGTGCTGAATATAGAGGTTTTTTTTTTTTTTTTCCTACTATAGCTAATTTAAAGGCCAAAGTTCCAATAAGGGATGAATGTGTACATTGAAGGCGGTCATATAGTCACATGGGAGAGGAGCTAGTAAATAATAGCAAAGAGAGAGATTGTTTTTAGGTCATAGCAACAATACATATTTTTAAAAAGATATAAATAAGATGGAGCAAGGAAATATCATTGAAAAAGAAATAGGACATGTGATGATTAATTTTATGTGTCAGCTTGACTAAGCTAAGGATGTCCAGATAGCTGGTAAAACATTATTTCTGGGTGTGGCTGTGAGAGTGTTTCCAGGAGAGATTAGCATTTGAATCAGTAGATGGAGTGAAACATATCAGACTCACCAAGATCATCCAGTTCATTCAGAGCCCACACAGAACAAAAAGATGAAGTAAAAGTGAATTTTCTCTTCTTGAGCCCCTCCCCACTTCCTATATTGTGACTTACATCATTGGCCCTTCTGGTTATCAGGCCTTCAGGCTTGGACTGGAGCTACACCACCACCCTCCTAGCCTCCAGAGCCTGGAGAGAGCGGACCATGGGACTTCTCAGCCTCTATAATTGCATAAGCCAATCCCTCATAATAAATTTATATAAATATATATATAAATATTAAATATATATATATTTATCCTATATATTTCTGTTTCTCTGGAGAACCTTGATTAATATAGGACATTCATTCCCTAAGATATTATCGAGGTTAGACTTTTATCCCAAAATTCAGTATACACTTGGAGAAGAATGGATTTCTGCCATGATTGATTAGGAAATTTCTAAACATTCTACAAACACAAACATCTTTAGGAAGATTCCAACAATATTTTACTCAATCTGGGCTGTCCCGAGAATCTTGTTTATGTTTTGCTTCATTTGAGGCATCCTGTTAAACACAATATCATATGTGTGTGCTATTGATTCTCATACACAAATACAAAACAAATATATTTCTTTTGGCTTTAAGGAAGAGAATGAAAGAGAGCCTAAATGTGGGTAACAGAAGAGTCAGCATAAATTGGCAGCTAGTCAGATGAATCCAGTGAATTCTAGAAGAAGAGAACTCGATAAAGAGTGATTTCTCAAGTGTAAGTTAAGTCTAAACTGAAACTGAAGCAAGAAGACCAATAAGATGTATATGTAATGACAAGTGACAAGTGATCACTATAACGATTTTCCTGGAATGGAGTCTTGCTAATCTCTCCTCTAAGTCTAATGCCAACTGTTCTGGCTCTTGTAATGCTCTTTGAAATGATATGTATGTAAGCACAAGCAAGTGCATGTCAAGAAGGATTTTTCTAAAATGTTTCAAAAAAACCAAAACAACTACCGGTTAATCATGGTTGGTATTTAGAGGAATGCTTACACTTTCATTGTAATTTTTATTTATGACTAAACAAATGTATTCAATATAGATAGGTGTTTTATGTGATACGGGTTGGTGGGTGGGGTGCCTCCAAAATAAAGCCACAAAGTACCCCTTTATCTCAGACTTAGAAAAATTTGCCTCTTGAGAGCAAAATCTATTATACTACAGATTGTATAAATGCCTTAAAACAACAAAAATAAGAACTGAACTCCATGTCCTCTTCTTAATCACTTTGAGGTCTTTTCTGGAATCAAGAGAAAAACGGTAAAATAATACTTAATCCAATTATTCTGAACAAATGCTTCTCTTAGAGTCTCAAGACACAGTTGCTGTTTTGCTCACCTTGCTCTCATTACCTGACAAGTTATAGCGGGTCAAATATGTTTGACTGTGATCACATTTCCTGGCTTTCTTTCATTCCTTTTTCTTTATTATTAAGCGATCAGTTTTAGTCATTCAAGAGCCAGTTCAAATAATACCTTCTATGTGAAGCCTTCTTTGACACTCCACTCCCTAGTCAGAATCAATTTTTCCCTACTAAGAATTATCACAATACTTTCTTTATATTTCTCATCTTTCCACCTCTTGACTCGTTTCTCACCTCAGACTCCTTCCCACTCCCAGCATCAGGAAGTCAGAGATCATAAATTATTCTATCCCAAAGAGCCTAGAAAAGGGAGGGAGAGCTAGAAGAAGGGACTGAGGGAAGGAGAAAGGGTGAAGAAGAAGCATTAGTAATAACTGAGATGCACTGAACGCTCATGAATGCCAAAATATTATAGTAAGTATTTTGCATATTCACCTCATTTAATCAATTATTAGCTATGTGCCAAGAACCTTACATATACCATTGGGATCTTTTCGTTTGTTTGTTATTTGTTGCTTTATTATCTGTCTGCTCACATTTTAATTTTCCCAGAGGAAATATGACATTTTCAGAATTTGCTGGTCAGCATCTTCTGCTTCAAGCTTGGTGAAGGATTTCCATTCCAAGACATCTGTAACCTCTCCTTCCCCTAAATGCCACTTCTCTCAATGGATTCTAGATTTATATATCCCTTCTGAGGGTCTCCGCCTGGTGCTGACGTATGAAATATAGACTTCTCTGTTCTGGTCTTCACTTAGTAAAATGTTTATTTAACACCTCCCCTTTAAAGTATTTTCTCATTCATAAATTATGCAAGCAAAATAGTCTTAATACCTCCTATGTGACTAGCAGTAAGAATAGCAGTGAAAAGATTAGAAAGAACTCTGAACTTGAAGTGAGATTATCTGGGTTTGAGTTCCGCTTCAGCAAGTCAAATTAGAATGAGAATGAGGCAGTTACCTAGTCTTTATTATACTTAATTTTTATTTGAAAATGTGGAGATAATATAAATCTACCAGGTGAATATTTTCTGAAGACAAAATGATATAAAAGATGTGAAAATCCATTGTATACTTCAAAATTGATTGTATATGGAATGGGGTAATTATTGATAATATTATTTTACATACAATCCAAAGAGGTGCCTCATTATTAATCAAATATTTATGGTCAAAACAAAATAACATATACCATTATTTTTTAATCCTCACAGCAACTCTTTACATTCAGTTATCAATATCACCATTTTATGAACAATGAAAGGAAGAATCAAAGAGGTTAAATAACTGCCCAAATTCATCCAATCAGCAAGTTAGTAAAAGGATATAAAGCCAAGTCAGAAAGATTTCAAAGCCCATGATCTAAACAGCCATGCAACACTATTAATTTGTGGAGTTTTGAGGAATTTGGGAGATGTAATCTGATTGTTAATAGTACATGCTCTTAGGATAAATGATGATGGGAACAGGTAGGATAAACTGCATAAACCTGGAGACTGAAGTGATAAACTGCAGAAAAATTAGAGAAGATGATGCATAGGCAGTGACAAGATGGAGAGGATACTCACGTGTGTGATAATAGATAATAACCCTGGGCTATGGAGTATGACTCAGGATTTATTCTGGTACAAAGCTTAGTTCCAAGCGAGACATAATTTCACTTTTTTAATTACACCCATCAGAACGCTGGTTAACTCCAGGTATAAGCCTTCTCTCATGTGGATCGACAATAGGAAGCAGTACCAGAATCTCCAAGGCCAGCTTGTGAAATTTCTTTGGGCTTCATCAAGCCAAAAGAAAAGCCTAGGGTCACTGAAATGTCTTCTTGTAGCTTACTCTATGCATCCTGCTAATACCTGGCCAGACCAAAAACCCATCCTCCATAAAGAGTGCTTGTTCATGGATGAATAGAAGGTCTGACACAATGGCCCACAATCTAAATGGCTTTCAGCTCCTTCCCCAGAGACAGCATCAGAAATAGGGCTGTCAATCACAGAAGAGCACTCTGGGGTGAAAGATGCCAGCCCTTAGTGAGGTAAAGCACTCTTGTTTGGGGAAGAGTTTCTTAGAATGACTTTTGGTATGCGATGTTCCAATCTAAGAGTTTCTAACTATGAAGACGCCTGTCTTTCTTCAAATCTTAGTTCATACTTCCCTAGAAGGTAATTATGTCATATAACACCTACAACCAAAACAACACATGAAACAACAGTAAGAACAACAGCAGCCACAGCTAACACTTATTGAGCAATTAGCATGATCTAGGAACTCTTTTATGTGATTCATTTCAATTAACTCATGTAATACAGATAACCACATACAGATGTGGGTATATAAATACAGATATAAATATTATATAGCTCAAACTCACCTTAATCCTCATATATTATCTACATCCAAATTATCCAGTTATCAGATAGAATTGAAGAAACCTGAATCCAGGAGCCTACAGGTTCCAGGTCTGGGGGCATCTTTGTCTATAATTATGTGACAAAACCTCGTGGGGAATTGGAGCAAAACTTTTAGAGTCTTTCTAACATTGGATTGTGGGAGGAACTGGTTCACTTTAGGGAATGTCACTTCACATGGGTAATTTGAGATCATAAAATTCAAGATAAACAATCAAAAATAAGTTTTAAGGGGAATTATTGTTGGTAGAGAGATACTAGATTATAATCATCACTTTATGCTGGGGAATACTTGGGAGGATTTTAAAATACAGAAGAGAAATTATAAATAAAGGGGGTTGTAAATAGGAGCAAAATTGCTACAATAATTCGACATGCACAAAGAGTTTCTGGTAGCTAAATAAAATATTTTATTGGCTTCTCACCCATTCACCAACAAATATCTCTTCTATATAACATCCCTATTTCCAAATGAGTCATCTAAATACACTGATTCACATTCAGGTAGGAAAACATGTTCCTTGGATTCAGACACCAAGGGTCCAATATTTTGGACGGAGCTCAGGAGGAAATGATGCAACACTTGCTTGTTATATTGGCAAGGTCTCTTTGCAACCCCAATAAAAAGTCATTTGTGCCAATGTTAGTCTTTTAATTTCCCTATCAATACACAGCATAACATATGTTGCAAATTGTTACCCTCACTCTCCAAATATCAACTAATATCGCCTGATGTCATATCTATTTACCTCATGCCTATGAAAGTTCTAATACACTTCTGACCAGTCTGTGCTCACATTGCTGTAAGGAAATACCCAAGATCAGGTAATTTATAAAGGAAAGAGGTTTAATTAACTAACAGTTCCACATAGCTAAGAAGGTCTCAGGAAACTTATAATCATAGCAGAAAGCAAAGGGGAAGAAAGGCACCTTCTTCACAGGACAGCAGAAGGAAGTGCAAGCAGGGTAAATGCCAGACACCTAGAAAACCATCAGATCTCGTGAGACTCACTATCACGAGAACAGCATTGGGAAAACTGCCCCCATGATTCAATTACCTCCACCTGGTCCTGCCCTTGACACATGGAGATTATGGGGATTATAATTCAAGATGAGACTTTGGGTGGGGACACAGCCAAACCATATTACCATCTGTTATTTATACTAAGATCAGCTTCACTCATTAGACATACTTTCTAGTCTATGGATGCCTACTTGCAGGTTGGCCAATGAGGTACTCTAGATCAATAGTTTTTTGTGGGTTTTTTTTCTAGCTTAATAGTTTTTGAGAAGAAAATACAATAATACAGAAATAAAGTTAGACTATGAGCTCATGTGTGTAGATTTTGCTTCCTGCTGCTTCAACAAAACTCTACATATAGACAAGCCATTAGAGAAAAGAAGGTAATACTAGAAATATATTGATGCATATTTGCATGAAACACAAGAGACTTTCATCTGTTTGGTCATTATATCAAGATCTTACATGGAAGTAATTTTTGTTTAATTCTGTGTGTGTATATATATGTATGTGATATATAGGTATATGCATGCATGCACATAAACATATCTATGCATAAAATATATATGTGTATCTTTTTTAATATTTACAAAACTTAATCTGGTTGGTGGATAGCTAGAAATTGCTGAAAAGGGGAGAGATAATTTCACTTATTACAATCCTGGGTTTTAAAAAATGACTTCTAGAAGAAATAAAATATTTTAAATTTTGACATGGGATGATGCCACTACTCTACAGTAATACTTTTAGGTGTTATGTATTATTTGAAGGAAAAGAGATCTTCAGTGTCTGAATTCACAATGGCAACATGCCTTTCTATATGTATAATAATTCAAGAAGTGTAGGATATCAAATGAGTTCAAGGACCAGGGGACTGGGTTGACAGCTGTCATTTCCAGTTGTTTCAACCAAAACCCTATTTAAATCCCCAAATGCAACTTAGCTTTTCCACATTCTATTTTTTAATTTGTAAATTGGGATTTAAAGTGTTTAACCTCTTTGGAGCATATTAAACAATTTCCAGTGACATTAGACCACAGTAATTAGTATTTGTAAAGAGATTTGGGATTCTGGATGAAAGCAGTTATAAAAGTGCAGAATACTAGAATTTCTGTGTATCAAGAATCAACTTTAAACAAAACAGAGATAGAATAACCTAAGAGGAATCAAAGAATCATAGCTACATAAACCCTTCAATTTAACAACAACAATAATATTTTTGCTGGTTTTAAAGCAGTATTTACTTTAGCAAATATTTTTTAAAATGTCAAATATATTAAGTCAACATTTTTGTAGATAGATACATGTGGGCTTTTTCTTTTTCTTCCCTGAAAGATGGGATTAGGCTGAGCAGTGGTAGCTGTCAGAAGCTCAAACTCCCTGCCTCCCAGAATGGGTACTTGTAATTAAAAGCTTAGCTCACCTTATCCTTCCAGTTTCCCAGGCGAAAAGTCAAAGCCTGCATTTAATTGCATATATATGTGTGCATGTTTCTAAAACAAAAGCTCCAAAGAGAGCCAGTGCTTTGGAGGAAAAAGGACAATACACAGATAAATAGTTGACACAGAATCAAAAATAGAGAGAAACAGAAAAGGGGATAATGAAACAACAGAAATGCAGCACTTAGTTCCCCTTTGGTTTGTTACCACTTAGAATAGGAAGTACTTGTTTACCATTTCTACTTAGACAAGCAACAACAAAAACAACAACAACAAAACAAATATGCTATATTTGCCTGAAGATTTGCCAGAAACATATCCTATTTTTTGGTTGGTGTATTTAATCACAGTTCTGTCAGAACATGGATTGGAATGTGACAGCACCATTCTGTTGAGGGAAAGTCAGCATCAACTATGTTCAGTGGAGCCAATCTGGGCGATAGAAGTGAGGTTGGGTGGATTATTGGAAAGGTGGTCATTCAGGAATCAAGACTCTGACCAGTGTACAGAGAAAACAGGATGCAGATCTCAGGAACTCAGGACCCAGGGCCAGATCAAAGTGTTTGTTTAAGCAGAGAAAGGACAACAAGAAATAGAGCTTCTAGCAGCAACTAATAAGCAGGGGGAAAGAGGCAGGGGCATGGTAGTCATAATCATGGGAAACTGGAAATCACATAGAGAAAAATTCAGTGTCTGAGATGATCGTATATAGAGCCTGTAATACTCACTGGGTAAGAAAAAGTCTTTTGACTGGATACAGAGACCATATCATGAAAATATTTAGCAAATTGTACCCAATGATGAGTCCTGCCCTGGGCTGGGGCTGAAAAACAAAGCTGGAGGATTATAGTTCAAAAAGGGAGTTAAGAATTATCTAGGCTCACCGTGCCCCATGCAAAGTAGGTTTTTATGAAGCTACTGCTTAATAAGGATAAATGAATCTTCTTTGTATACAGATGAAGCAACTATGTCTCAAATAGGGGAAATAACTGTCAAAGTTAAAATGTTAGAGCATAGTCACAACTAGAGTCCAGCTTTCTCCCAAGGTTAGAACACTTAGCCCTTCATTCAGTCACCTAACCCTAGAGAGCAGTATGAAGATTTCCTGGAGCTGAGGGCTAAGTAAGGCCTGGTTTTGAGGTCACCTGGGGGGCAGCAAGCCAAGGCTTTTATGAGCTGTTACTGAACGTACACTAAAAAGACAAAGCAGTCACCCTTTGTACTGAGATGATGGTGAAAAATGCTTTGGTCATTATTAATTGTAGGGTGGTAGGACTTTCTATGGTACAGATTTGGAAAAGGTGTTGTTCAAGAAACTAAACTGCTGAAAAAAGCATAAGGTTTTAAAAACACTAGTATCTAGGGGCCACTGAGATGAAATGTGCCTGTGGAAACCAGAGCTACAGAACACTAATTCTTCCCTGAAATAAGTGAACAGCCCAAATTGGCCTCCCCAAATGGATATTTTAATTTCCTTTTTTGCTTCTCAGAGTTCATGTAATCCTTAGAGATCTGGCCTGATTGACCTCTGGTAAAATTGCTGAAGTAAGTCACCTATTTCCCATCTCAAGGTCTCAACTCTTTCCCAAATATTCATCCTGCTCAGTCCCCCACTCAGACTGCAGCAATTAATTCCTCTGAAGTATGTATTGATACAACTGATTATCCTTCAACAGAGTGAGTCTTTTCCTTCCGTCTTTTCCTTCCTTCCTTCCTCCCTCCCTCTCCCTTCTTTATTCCCTCCTTCCTTCCTTCCAAATAGCATGCACTTCACATGTCAGTCTTTTAATAGACAAGGAAATAAATTAATAATTAAGAAAACTCAGTCATAGGCAGCATGAGTGACCAATGACGAAAAAGCAATAGAAGTAGTATATATAGTCCTTTTATTGCTCCTCGAATCACACAATGAAGGTAGAGCCCTACTTTAGCTTAGCCCTGGAATTACTGAGCACTACCAGGGGAACCTACAGGCCAAGCCCCACTAAATAGTTTTTTTAAGGCAGGGAGTGGTAAGTGGGGAGATGAGCAAATTTTCGTTGGGCTTAAAAATGGGAAAATTAAGGATAACTGCTCTAGTAAATTACCAGTTGAGACAGAGGCATTTATTCTTTTACATCACTGCAATTTGGACTACTACACAGCATTTTGATAAAATGTCCTAAACTGAAAACCGTATTCATCCCCTTATATTTTTTTTACTTGGTTTTGCAGAAAACCATTTCTCTCTTTCAATATCAACTCTCAAGTTCTGCATCAAATTCCAGTTTTTAATATCATCTCAGAATTTCTATTTTTCAGAAAATAATGTTTGTAATTCTGTTTTCTCTCATTCTTTCTTATCCTTTGCTAAGAACTAGAAGATCTTGTCTCAGAGTAGATTGCTCAGTTCTCTCTAGTATATTCTCTGCTGCAAAGGATAAACTACACCTCTACTACCAGGGAACATTAGACCACAGGTTTATTGATTTCTAGTTGTTTAGCCAGTGTCTCCTAGCAACTGTCTTATGAAAAAGGGAAAAAGAGTTTTTCAAGTTATAGAATCTCTTAGACTGCAAAATAATATAGAACTTTAAACTCTTTCGGCAAACAAAAAGGCAACTATATCGAACACTAGAAAAAGGTAGAAGGAAACAGAAAACAAGAGTAGAAATGGAAGGTCTTTCCCACCTAAGCTCTGTATGGGTTTATCTCTTTTTATTGTATGTGTGCTATGATGGTCATGTTGTATAGACACGTAGCTATTTTTCTGATGTTTTGTAGAACCAGGGCACTGGTTGATAGGTGAGGTCAGGAAGGAAACTGTAAACTGTTGGGAAAGGGACATGCAGTTACGTAATGATAAGGTTGGCCTCTGTGTTGGAGGGTGTCTCCGTGTATAGGGATGTAGTACTGGGTACTGCCTACTAAGATACAGAAAGATTCAAGAAGGAACAAATATTTTGAATAAATAAATCAATAAGCTAAGAGAGTCAGATACAGGTTTTCAAATCAGATTTATCTCAGCAAAGAATTTCAGATTGATATTTACAGTCCATGTATGGACTCTAGGGAGTTCATGAATTTTATTAATACACAAAATGTTTTGCATGAGTGTTTATGTGTAGTTTAATCATTAAGGTAATCTATGATTTACATTAGATTCACAAGTGCCTATACAGCACACAACAGAAACATGACATGCATCTTCTGTTGATTTTTGTTAGTAGTGTGTTGGTTATATATTACAGACTTGTCTCAGCTATGCTATAGATATTAAATGAAAGGCTAGGACCAATGTATTAAGAGAAATCAAGCCTCGTGGGCATTATTGAAATGGAAGCATTATTAGTAGGAAAATCCACAGGGCAGGTGGGTCTCAGAGGCAGAGTGGCACTGTGGAGTTTAGTTATTCTTTCCCAGTAATAAAGTATCTTATCAGTGCCAGCCGTAGTGATTTGGTGTTACTTTTACCCAAAAAGGTAGCTTTTTAAAATGAGAGGCTAAAAGGATTCCTGGACATAGTGAAATCCAAGGGGCTAGATTAAAATTATATGCAAATTAAAAGCCAATTGGCACCAGCTATTTTCTTTTAGCAGAGACCATGAATTTTTAAAATATTGGATCTACACTATAAATATAATAAAATATTATCTTACCTCCATGCTATGGTTTGAATGTGTCAGAAATGTAACCCCCAAAGCAACAGTGTTGGGAGGTGGGGCCTAATGAGAGGTGATTATGCCATGAGGGCAGAGTTAATGGATTAATACCATTATTTTGGAAGTGGGTTTGTTATAAAATAAAAAGTTTGGCCCCCTTTTCCTCTCTTTCTTCCTCTCTCACTTGCTCTTGATGATGCAGCAAGAAGGCTCCTTGATCTTGGACTTTCCAGCCTCCAGAACTATAGGAAATAAAGTTTTTTTCTTAATAATCTACCTTATCTCAGGTGTTTTGTTATAGCTTCACAAAACAGACTAAGGCACTCCATGAAGAGATGATAATGAAAGTATCCTGGAAGCAACAATCGTTAGACTATCAAGGAAGTCAACAAACTAAGTTGCCTTAGTTTAGTCAACTATAAAACCCGGCTATTACCTTCTCTACCTACTTCAAGTGATAGCAATAAGGGTCAAATGCTTCAATAAATGTAAAAGCATTTTATAAACACCAAAAGGTGTTTTGGTTATTACCTAGTGTGTGTGTGTGTGTGTGTGTGTGTGTGTGTGTGTGTGTATTCATGATTAGATCCATTGGGCATTCTCTTAGTGGAAAGGATAAATGGTTCAAACATTTGAAAGCACGATCTGGTAAAATAAATCATAAATCTAAAAATATATTCTGTTAGATTCAACAAATCACTAAGAATGTATTTCAAAATTATATATCAGAGTACAATCAGATTAACATCAAAGTTGTATTTTTAACAAAGTCCATAGGTGTGATTTACAAGAACAAAAAACTGAAAACAACCACAATATTCTTTAGTAAGGAAATGGTTAAACAAGTAATGATAATAATATCTACTATGGTCTGTTTGGGCCTTTGAAAAGCTTTAAAAACTCTCTAAATTCTTCTAGGAAAAGAAGAGAATGTTTGTCTCTTCAAAATTCGTATGTTGAAATTCAAACCCCAAAGGTGATTGTATTAAGAGATGAGGCATTTGGGAGATGATTAGGTCATGGGAAGGGAGCAGTCATGAAAGGGATTATAGTCCTTATAAAAAAAGGCAAGAGACCCCTCATGCCTTCCCACCACCTCCCATGTGAGGACACAGCAAGAAAGTACTGTCTATGAACCAGAAAGCAAGATCTCACCGGACACTGAATCTGCCAATGCCTTCATCTTGGACTTTGCAGGATTCGGAATTGTGAGAACTACACTTCTACTGTTTATAAACTACCCAGTTTATGAGATATTGTTACAATAACCTGAACAACGTAAGACAACAGGCAATAGAATTCTATGTAGCCATTACAAATGATCACATAGATTTATCTTCATTGACATTAAAATCTCTCCATATTTTTTACTGAAAAAGGAGAGTAAAATATGATATGACCCAGTTTTCTTCTACATTAGCAGAGAAAAATACTAAAATATATATATTCCAAAATGTTAAAAGTAGAGAAGGGTCTTATAAAAGATTATTATACTTTTTTTCCTCTATACCTAATCCCCATTAATATAGTATGTGTGTAGATTGCTTTAATGAACAGAAAAAAGTGAATAAAGTTATTTTCATTTTGAATGAGAAAGAGAGTTTTTTAAGCTTTTCAAAGGCCCAAACAGCTCCCACCAACCACTGTCAAGATTCAAGTGTCAACACAAGGAAGCACAAAATCTATAGTTTTATGTGACCTGAGAAGCACCAGCCAAAAACATTCATCAAAAGTTTGGCATGTTCTCTACAAACAGTAACATCAAAACAGAAACTTAATTTGATTAAATCATAGTCTGCTTTAAAACTTCCCTAGCAGAGATCAATTTATCAGATTAGGAAAGAAGAGTAGAGGCCTGAAGTATTGGATGGTGTTTAATAAGGGTTTTCAAAGAAAATAGGAAACAGAAAGGGCTAAGCAGGAAGCCCCAGCAAGGTATACTGGAAGTAGCCTGCAGTTCCTTGGGGAAGTCAAGGACCTGACCAATAAAGTCAGAGAACTGGTAGTGTGGAAGAGGCAGAGCAGTGCAGGGACAGACAGCTGCTTCTCGACTTTGTCTTGCATGGATATGTTTATCAGTGGTAGGAAAGCCAGCACCTTTCACGATTTATGGAATTTCCAAAGGCCAAGTCAACATTTTTTTTTTTTTTTGTTCTTCCCTCTTCCTTTTCTGACTATTGACATTTCCTGTTCCCAGGGAAATTCTCTTCATACTTTTACATAGAAAGAGAGAAAGACTGTTTACTGGAAAGATCAAAGAGCCATGCACTAGCAAGTTTTTCTCACATAAGACTTGAATTCCAATCTGTATGATAGTGATGTAAAGGAGGGGAGTGGGTTTTTGAGCCCTGAAAATGTGCCATCTCTTTTAATATAAATTATTTTATTTAAAGTTCACTATTACCATAAGAAGTATGGGGGTCCTCTTTTTTTTCTTGATGCTAAAACCAATGTATAATGAGGTTCAGTAACTTACTCAAGGTCACTTGGATCACATATAGTATAAAAAAATTTCTGATCTTAGTTGTGACTACAAAGCCAATGAGCTTTCATTCATTAATCCCATAATTCTCATCAAGTGACTACTGTATGCCAATCACTACGCTAGGTGCAGGGACTATATAGCCATGATGTTTGTCTTCAAGAACCTCATAGAGCAGTTGAAGAGTCAGTGAGGACAGTGTTATGAAATATTTGGAGCTATACATTAACCAGGTTCTTCATATAATTTTCTATAATTATTCAGGAGTACTAGTACTGATTGTTATTAGAGCTCTATTTTACAAATACTTAAAGTGAGAAAGTCAAATAATTTCAGTGAGATCACAAATGGATTGGGAGGCCCTGAATTATGACCTTTTATCTTTAGCTCTCTTCCTACATAACATACCCCCCTTTCCATTTTTGTGACATTTGTGGGTAATATACAAATCAGTAAATGCATGAAAACCCAGATTATTTTAACTTTTATATTACATGTGCAAAACATGTGCCAATTTGTTTTTTAAGGTAAATGTTGATAAATTTTATATTAATGCTCACATAAATTTGCAATTTGATCTAAAGAAGCTTAGCTCAAGCTGTAAATTTGGATTGAAACACATGACACTTAAAAAAAAACCTTTAGTTAGGAAAAATTTGAAAATCCAAGGAACTTGTTTTAACTTAGCAAGTAAGCACATTAACTGGCATTTAAAAATATAGAAACAATTATCATGCAGAGTCATGTCAATGTGGACGATGCTCACTATACTGAATTACAGATTAGTCAGACTATGTCCCTATTGCAAATCTATAGCTTGGATTGCACAATGTTTATAACATTATAGAAAAATGCTATATAATTAGGTGTGGCTTCCTTAAACAATAGAGTAAAATAGAAAGAGAATATTTGTGTCATATTTGACTAACTTTTACCTATGGAATTAATCTCTTTCTTTCCTTTAGTCTTTTGGTATGTTTTGTTTTGTTTTGTTTTAAATTCTGTATCTGCTATCCTAGGAACCCTGAAAAGAAGATATGAGATTTTCAAACAAGAGGACATCCATTCCTATCTCTGTATAAATGAAGAACTAAATAGGGAAGCAGAATAAGAAAATAAAAGCCTAGAGGTTCTTGTCATTTTCCCTTTTGCAAGGCCTAATGTACAGAGGTGAAATATAAATGAAGGTAGGGACCTGGATAGCACCCTCCCCTCCTGAATTCATAGCTGCCCCTCATATCTGCCTGTCATGTTGGTCAGGGGTCCCCACTGTGAAAGTTCTGAACTGAATATTAATGGCACTCAAAACCCAACTCCGTTTCCTTTCCTTTTACTTCTAAGTTCTGAATTCATTAGTATCTGGGGCTCACTCAGTACCCAGCAGCACTGTACAATGTATCCAAGTTAAAAATTAAAACACAATAAAGGTGCCTTTGAATGGTAAGTCCACAATGTTGCCCACATAGATGGATTGTTAGAAATCACACCTAGGAAAGAAAAAGAGAAATCACGTATAGAATCTTATTCACTATTTCATATACTCCTTTTCTGTAGTGTCTGCTAGAATGAAAGCTACTGACTTTTACTTAGACTTCTTACCATTCACCAAGGGCAGTATGGAGCCTGACACCAGAATCAACACAGGCCTGAAAAGCCCCAGAAAGGGCAGGAGAACTTTCCAGCTGCTATAAGATAAGGTACTTACTTAGTAGCACTTCCTAAACCCAAACTGCTAGTGTGATGTGTCTAACTGCTCGGTGTCAGTACCTTGTCAAAGAGATGGCTACTACTTGATATGTTTTTAATTTGCAGCTTTGTGGTATTACTTGGGAATTAGAAAGCCTTTTAAAATTATGTAGTCATTTTCCCTTACCAAACTAGTTTTAATTTCCTGCAAGTTGTGTGCAAAGTGTACACAGGGTGAATGTCAGTTTGGTGCTCAAAGGCTAGGGAGAAACATCACGCAGGTTGGCAATTTAATCACCACCATCCAGTTCAAGATTCCATCAGGCTTGTGACTTCCCAAGTTCTAACCATCTATTAAGCTGTACAACTTTTACAAAGGCAGAAAGGAAAGAGGGGTACATGCTGAGGAATGATGTATTGGAATTGTAAAGCTAGGACAGCACAAAAACCCCATAAATATTCTTCTTAATGTTTTACTTTATATGACAGCCTTCGAGTGATATATTGTCTGACAATTTTCAAGATGGCTATATAAACACATTTTTTTTGCTGCAGCCTAATATAGATGAAGTCTCTGCAGGCTAATATATGGGGCCAGGGTGTGTTCTAGTGTACACATTCCTGATAGTAAAGATTTCTGTACCTAAATAGCTCTGTCTTTATACAGTAGGTTTCTTCTTAGCATCAAAAAAGCAAAAATATATGAAGGCAAAAAAAAACAGTCAATAATGCTATATGGCACTATATGGCATGGGTTTCTATTCTTACACAACTAGCTTATCCGTGATTTTCTGCGTAAACAGAACTCACAATATTAGAATCTCTTTTCTCATCTTTATGGGCCTCTATACCATAGCCAAAGTTTTGATAGTGCCTTTTAAACTAGATGTTTAAAATTAGACAGATGTTTAATGTTTCTTGGTAAGGCAGCCATCAAAGATAATAAAAGTATAATAACCTTGCAGAAAGACTCCTAGGGATAACTGAAATGAGATACTATATTATAATACAAACAAGTGTTTCTTATTCTGCTTCTGAAAAACTGCTAGAATCTGATACTTTGCATAACTCTAGCCCGAGTTTTGCCCTGCAGCATAATAGTGGAAAGAAGGAAGCTATCTGGAAACAATAAAATAAAGGCTAGAAAGAATAATCCTAGGGTAGATGTCATAACTCAAAGGGAAGAGGGTGTAAAGTTAAAATCGCTAGATCTAATGTAACACAGTGAATCCTCCAGGCTAGATCTGGTTTCCAAAAGGTCTGCTTTAAAGGAAGAAAAGCAAGAAAGGTCAAACAGGGATTGGTTTAGTATCTGACATTAGGTGAGGGAACTGAGCCATGCTGTCAGGGAGTTCCACGGGGATTAAAGCAGAGCCGCAGCCGGTAGCCGAGGATGCAAAGAGTAGGAACTAGACCCTGGAGGAAGAGACCTGCGGGAGCAGGAAGGAGGGGAGAGCCCTAGAAAACTTACCTTGTGGTTGAGGTTTATTACAAGGGGCCCAGGAGGGCAGGCAGCTCAGAAGAATGGAATAGAAATGCAGAGGGAAGAAGGGGGAGGGTGGTTAGAGAAAGAAAGCTTAGCTTGAAGCTGATGTAGTCCTTGGGAGAAGAGACACCTGGCATGGGGCTACAGACTAATTTTCTTATTCCTGCTGGTGGAGAATTAGTTTCCAATATACCACCGGGCCTGAATCTTAATGATTCAGGCATTAGGCAAAGCTGAGCAATCTGCTGGGAGCTCTTCAGTAGCCACAGCTGGGAGTGCAGTGGCAGGAACTGACAAAGAAGTCCATACATAGTGGGAATCTTTTTTATTTTAGGAAATTTAAAAGAAATGGGAGAATCCATTTAAAGGGACACATTTTATGCTTCAAGAATACATAAAACTTAACTATTTAGAGAAAGAGAATATGTGCAGTGATTTTCTATGTGTGTGTGTGTGAGAGAGAGAGGGAGAGACAATCTGTGCCATGGAGCAATCACAGCTCACTGTAGCCTCGACCTCCCTGGCTCAAGCAATCCTCCCTCCTCAGCCTCCTGAGTAGCAGGGACCACAAGTGTGCAACCAACACACCCAACTAACTTTTTTTTTTTTTTTTTTTTTGAGATGGAGTCTCACTCTGTCCAGGCTGGAGTGCAGTGGCGCGATCTCGGCTCACTGCAAGCTCCGCCTCCCGGGTTCATGCCATTGTCCTGCCTGAGTCTCCCGAGTAGCTGGGACTATAGGCGCCCGCCACCACGCCCGGCTAATTTTTTGTATTTTTAGTACAGACAGGGTTTCACCGTGTTAGCCAGGATGGTCTCGTCTCCTGACCTCGTGATCCGCCCGCCTTGGTCTCCCAAAGTATTGGGATTACAGGAGCGAGCCACCGCGCCCGGCCCCCAACTAACTTAAAAAAAAAAAAAGGGGGTCTCACTATATTGCCAGGCTTGTCTCAAATTCCTGGGCTCAAGGGATCCTCATATCTCGACCTCACTAAGTGCTGAGATTACAGCAGAGTAATTTTTAAAATTCAATTGCAAATATATAAGCCACATGTGCAAGAATTATTCTGTAAGGTATAACATGCATTCATTCTGGTTGGACCACACTTTTAAATAAAATGTTTTCTAGGGAATGTCTTATGCCAGGTCTCGATTCTGCTTTTAATATCAGGGGAAAAAAATGTGATATTTTGAGCACTTTCTCACTTATAAAATAAGAATTTAGGGAGAGGAAGGTGTAGAAGTGCTAAAAATATTATCTCCAAGGTCCCTTCCAACTATAATATTCTGTAACCCCAAGACTCACTCATTCTTGTAGCACGTAGACACTACCAAAGGATATACCTTGAAGCAAAAGTAGCCTATTTGTGAAAGGACTGTTGGAACAGAAACTTTGATGTTTATTTGGTTCCTGGGTGTAGTTAGCCAATCATGAGAAATGTGCAACCGCTCCCAGGTCTTTCAGATCATGCACCTGTCAGGAAGATGGTGGAGTTTACTTCAGAGAAGACAAATTCCTCTAATAACAAATCAGATGCATTTTGTATTAATTTATATTAATTGAATCAGAATCTCTTTTGGAAAGGCAGATGTTGGAAAGCCTAAGCTAGAATAACTGACTGATTTGGTCAGGATGCTTCCTAATCCCATCTAGGCTGCTCAAATTAACATAGCATCAGTTTTGTTTGTTAAAATGAGCTCAGTTTCCCGAAGGTCTTTGAAGAAAAAAAAAATGACTTTTCTAGCACCAAAGCTGACAAACACTATGTAGATATTGATGATTTGCATTTATTGGATCAATTAAATATACAGTCACGCATTGCTTAACAATGCGAGTACAGTCTGAGAAATGTGTTGTGAAGCAATTTTGTCATTGTGTGAACATCATACAGTGTACTTACACAAACCTATAGGGTAGAGCCTTCTATACATATAGGCTGTATGGTGTAGCCTATTGCTCCTAGGCTACAAACTTGTACAGCCTATTAATGTACTGAATACTGTAGGCAATTGTAACACAATGGTAAGTGTTTAAGTATCCAGACATAGAAAAAAAAACCATAAAAATACAGCATAAAAGAAAAAAATGGCATACCTATATAGAGTCCTTACCATGAATGGAGCTTGCAGGACTGGAAATTATGCTGGGTGTCAGTGAGTAGTGAGTGAATGTGAAGGCCTAGGACTCTACTATTCACTACTGAAGACTTTATAAACACTGTACATGTAGACTACATTACATTTAAAAATGTGTCTTTCTTTCTAATTAACCTTAGATTACTGTAACTTTTTCTACTTTATAAACATTTAATTTTAAAAATCTTTTTAACTCTTTTGTAATAGCACTTAGCTAAAAACACAAATATATTGTATAGCTGTACAAAAATATTTTCTTTATATCCTTATTCTATAAACGTTTTCTATTTAATTTTTCTTTTTAAGCTTTTTTGTTAAAAATGAAGACACAAAACACACATTAGCCTAGGCCTACACAGGGTCAGGATCATCAATATCACTGTCTTCCACCTCCACATCTTGTCCTGCTGGAAATTTTCAGGGGCCATAACCCACATGGAGCTGTCATCTCCTATGATAAAATGGCTTCTTCTGGAATACCTCCCGAAGGACCTGCCTGAGGCTGTTTTACAGTTAACATTTATATAAGTAGAAGGAGTGCACTCTAAAATAAAATTTTAAAGTGTAGTATAGTAAATAAACCACTATCATAGTCGTTTATTATCATTATCTATTATTATGTACTAAACAGAATTGTATGTGCTATACTTTTTTGAGACAGGCAGACAGTAGGTTTGTTTATACCAGCATCACCACAGACATGTGAGTAGTGTGCTGTGCTGCCACATCATGATGGCTTCAGCATCACCAGGCCACAGACATTTTCAACTCCATTGTAATCTTATGGGACCACTGTTATATATGCGGTCTGTCATTGACCAAAACATTGTCAGGGGGCACATGAATAAGAATGTGTTAAAATTATAATATCTTGGATATGTTGGTTAAATAAAATACGTTATTTAAATTAATTTTCTCTTTTTAAGTTTTTCTTAATGTGACTCTAGAAAATTTAAAATTACATATAGGGCTCACATGTGTGAATTACATTAAAATTTTGTTGGACAGCACTGATCTATATTCTGCTTGAGACAAAACAAATTAACCAGAAACCCATAAGATAATATAGTAAGTGCCGAAAGAAGCCACAAGTCAAATATAATGGAAATTGGGAAAGAGTATAAGTCATCAGGCAGGGATTTTCCCAACTCTCTGCCCAGCAAACCTGTGCATTATGAGAAATCCACACCTAACTTTCGGAATCTCCTGTTGGCTACAAATAAGTAATTAACCTCTTGCCTAAGAGTAATAGTTTGTTGTGCTTTGCTTTCTTTCCATAGACATACTAAATAAGCGTTTATCCCTCTCATGTATTCCTAATCTTTCTCCTGTACCTTCCTCTGGACTGTCCAAACATATTATTTCTCTCATAACGTAAAACATCCTTTTCTCAACCCATATTTACCTTTGGCTACCAATGTCTTTTTTTCCATCCCTTCACAGCCAGTCTTCTTATAACAGTTCTCACTTGCAGTGTTACCATTTATTTCTCAGTCTTATCTCAACCCAAGGCTGTCTGGCCTCACTAGTCCATTGAAGGTGCTTTTATTTTTAGAGCTCCCAGTGATTTTGTTTTGGCTAAATCCATTGGGCATATTTATTTCTCATCTTACATAACTTCTTAGGAACATTTAATTCTTGACTAGCCTTACCTTGTGTCTTGCCAGACCAGCCTTGTGTCTGGCTGATATGCTATCAGATTCTTCTGGTTTTTCTCCCAGTTCTCTGGCCATTCTTTAGACTACCTCACCATTCCTTAATTACCAATGCATTCCTCAGAATTGTTTTAGGGTCTCATTTTTGCATACTCATCTTGAGTGATAGCCACACTCTGTTATTAAGTTAGTGACCAACAATATATGGAAGATTCTCAACTACAAATTTTTTTAACTAAATCTCCCTTTTTTCTTGACCTGTAAATCCAAATTTCTTTTGGATAAACTTTCCCACCATTGCTCAAAAGCAACTGAAATAATCTCCTACTTTCCTCCCAGTGTCAGCTTTCATCACTTCTTTCATTCATTTTATGCTCGGATTATTTGGAAATTATGTGTATTCCTCAAATATGCTGTGGCTTTTCTCCCCTTTGGGCCTTAACACATGTTTCCCATCTGCATGGAGCCTTCCTCCCTCTTCCTTATTCCTTACCCTGGCATGTAGTAAATTCTTATTCTAGCTTTGGCAAAGATATCACTTTTTCTCAGAATCATTCTTTCATTGCTCAAGACTGGTCCAAGTTCCCTTTTTATGTGTCCCCATAGAACCTTATACTTCCTCCATTATGGCATTCTTTATGCTTCGTTGTATTGGTCTGTCTCCTCTCCCTGGGCTTTAAAATTTCTGAAGGAAGGAGCCTCCTATTTCCAGATTAATCGCCATTGAATTTCCAGCAACTAATGCTGTACCTGACTTACGGTGGTTTATCAATAAAAGTCTGTTGTCCATGGAGAGAAGAAAGGAAGGTCAGAGGGACAGAATGAATGATTTTCTGGCAGAGATGGCATTTGAGTTAAATCTGAAAGATGACAAAATTTCGTCGTTTGAGGAAATGTTATTTTAAAAAATGGAAATAACAAAAGCAATTTGTAAAACATTGACAGGAATACGTAAAATACTTTTTAGACCCTATTGGAAGTAGATCAAACATATATGGAAGGAATAATATACTAGAAAGAAATCTTGTTATGACAGACCTTGAATGCCAAGCTAAACTTGTACTTCATTTTTAAATTAATGGAGGGCAATCAAAGATCATAACAAGTTTTTGAGGAAAAAAAGGCATGATTCGTGATGTTCATTTTTAAAAAGTAAGTAGTCATATATAGGATAAATAGCAGTGGAAGATTTTGATATCTTTATAATAGCAAAAGCTAAACTCTGTCACTATACTTTAAATATCTGGGATGATGGAAAGTAGAAGGAAAAAACAGAATGGGTAATGAAGAGAAACAAGAAGGCTTAGTGTCTGTATGAGGGCAGGCTTGATTTTAAACAATTGAAATCAAGCCAGAATAGGCCTTGAATCTAAGCCACAATTATCTGCAAGCATAAATTATCACTAGGAACTTCATAATCCTGATAATGTGTAAATACGGCCACATGGGTTTGCGAAAGCAAACAGCAAAACTGGTTTATAAGTGTCTCCTGCAGTTGAATCAGCAGAGAGAGCAATGATTTTTTTCTTATTTGGGACAAGAGAGATAAGTCTACAAAGGGCAAGCTAAGTATGATTTTCATCTAGGCACTGGGACTGTAGAATTGATGAATTCTCAGAAAATGGAAAGTGTTGGTCTTTCTCCCTTGAAGGATGAAGGGAAAGATGAAATAGCTTTGAATAGTCCATCATCAAAGACAAGCCATTTTCTATATATCCTCTTGAAAATCAAACCATCATGTAGGGTTGTATATAGAAGTTACTGGTTTGGATTAAGTACAGCAGATTACAGGAAGTGGCAAAAACTGTCAAGGGTCATTCAAAAATGTAACTCTTCTCAAAAAAATGTTGCGGTGCCCTGTCCTCCTCAAACAGGCATTATGTATGCTTCAAAATGTTTACCCTTAAGAAGTCATCTCTTCATTTTCATGAGGTAAGGAGCTTCAGGCTGCTGCATAGAAAAGGAGAGAGGAAGCAGGAAGATCCTACCCCATGTTGAAGTGTTTTGTGCTTAATTTCAAATTAGCTGTCTTAAAATGCATATTATAGAGACAGCTTAAGGAGGGCATTTTGCTGCAAGCTAATGTACAAAGAGACACAAGGATCAGAGGACACAGCAGGCAGCCATAGAGCCTGTGTTCTAGTATTGTTTCTATTTCTGCCACAAATGTTTTTGACCGAGGGTGAGCTAAGTAGAAAATCTGAGCCTTTGTTTTCTGGTTTGAAACAATAGCACTCTTATAGCTGCACAATGTTCAAGATTCATCTAGATTTCACATTATTGTCTACTTAAAAATTTGTCTGGTCTTTGTTCTGGGTTCCTGGCACAGAGCTTCGAAAACTCTTGGAATTTCCTGAATGATAGAAGTACCTTGGTTATTCACGAGCCCTTTGGCTCACACCTGAGTTTACACTGAGACTCATGGCAGGCCCTAACATAGCTTCAGGATGGGCCTGGTTATCAGAAAGATAAACCATATGATGACAGAGTTGGGACTTTGGACCAGCCTGACCTCCAGGCAGAGGAAGGAGGCTAGAGATTGAGTTTAATTAATTATGTCTATGTAATAAAGCCCCGATAGAGACTCAGCACTGAGGCTCAGTGAAGCTTCCTGTTTGGTGAACACACTGTTGTTCCAGAAAGGTGATGTATCCTAATTCCACAAGGAGAGGACACAGAGGCTTTGCATTTTAGACCCTCCCAAACATTGCCTAATGTGTCTCTTCATTTGACTGGTCCTGAATTTTATCCTTAATAATAAAATTACAAAACACAGTACTTTACTCATAGTACTTTATTCTAATTATAAGCATAGTACTTTACTGAGTTGTGCGTGTTGTGATAGTGAATTATCAAACCTGAGAGGCCCAGGCGACCTCCAGATATATAGCCATTCAGTCATAATTACAAGCGGCCTGTGGACTCCCAGTGGGCATCTGGTTTCTAAAGTAAAGGCAGTCATGTTGGGGACCATGGCGTTAAACCTCTGGAATCTGACACTAACTCCCCATGTTTAGGGTCAGAATTAAATTGCAGTACACCACTTGTCAGAATAAATATTATTTGCTTTTCCAAGGTGAGAGATAATTAATGCCAAAGAGGGGGGCATTCTTTCATTTAACTCTTAGCACATATGCTTGAAGGGAGGGATGACCAATATAAGACTGGCAAATTCTAACAAGTTGGGGTTAAAGGTATATCTACTTTTGAATCTGGTTATTTTTTCTGACCTGGAGTAAATTTTAAGAAAAGAGTGTCACAAATTTGTAACTCTGTTGCCCTTAGAATCTTTAAAAATGATTACCCATCATGAGTACAATCATTAGAAGTATGTTGAGAAGATTCTGGATCAGAGTTTGTCCAGGGTGGCATCTCTTTTGTATCTCACAGAGAAGCTAAGACGTGTAACATGAAACTGCACTTGTTATCTGATAACTACTTCTATTTTCTCGCTTATATAAAACCTGCTGAATCATATTCCAAATTTACAAGACCTCATTCTTATTCTTCCCATAGAGTTTGGGTGGGGGAAGGGGAAGAGGGAGGAGGAGGCAGGAGTAGACATGCTGTTAGGTTCCTGGTCTCATGCTACCTACTTCTCAAAAGGCTCAGAGATCAAACAGTAGTGAAGGATGAGAGACACAAAAGCACCATCAGGTCTCTCTTTTGCTAAAGGAGTTTAGACTTTCAACATGATGAATTCTCTTTGATAAAAGAATAAAGAGATGTGTTGTCTCTAGAGGAAGCTGCTGGGGTTCCCGTAATCTTCACAATAGGCAAAGTGCCAGCTATCCATATCTCCTGACTTCTTCTTGTTTTGTCTTTTCTACATGGCTAAAATGAAAGACACAGATGCCCAATTCTACTCAAATGTTCTCTTTTAAACTACAGAGATAGACTGCTACCTCTCTCCATTTGAAGGATTGAACATTTATGAGACAGAAATCATAAAAAGACAGTTTCATCAGAAGCAGGTGTATAATGAGGCCATGAGGCATGAATGGGACATGTGACCCTTTAAACATCGTAAGAAGTATCTGTACTATAGTTATTCAGCCATTTGTCCAAAGGGGCAAACTCTACCGTGTTCTTTTTCCTCTCTATATTTCTGTAAAATTTTAATCATATATTCACTCTTTAAATTATATCAGTAGCTTGAAAAAATTAATCCTAGGTTAGTTAGTATTAGCTTTCCTAGTAAGAAAATAAGTTTTCTTACATGCATCTGTAATTCTGGATTCAGCTGGGAGGTTGCATATGACCCTAGTGCTTTACTAGGATATTGCTTGTATCCTGGGGGTTAAACTGTTTTTGGAAACCCAGTTAGTGTCACTGTAAGATTAATTACATCCTAATAATAGAAATTTAAAATTCAAGTAGTCAGTCTTCACTCAACAAAGATAGCTATTGTTTGGAAAATTTTATCCATTCCTGTTTTCCAGATCTTCCTTCGCCTCTTTTTGTGCAAAAAAAAAAAAAAAAAAAAAACACCCTTTTAGATAGAAGCAGAGAAATTCACACATCATATCCAGCCAAGGTCTACAGTAAACTATATTCACACTGTACTCCCTTACCCATTAAGTTTCAAAACATTCACAGCATTTGTGAAGTCACAGTTACTAGATTCTTATTTACACCAGAAAACCCCAATTCCTGGTCTTTATACATATTAAAACTTATGATTACATCAGTTTATTGGGTAACACATTAAATTGACTGTGACTCTAAATATGTGAATACATGATGGAAAATTTAGAGTTCAGACTCAAATTCTATAGAGTGGCCATAGTGTGGCTATGCATGCTAGTTAAAAATTATCTGCATGTGATGCTGGAGAGGATGTGGAGAAATAGGAATGCTTTTACACCATTGGTGGGAGTGTAAATTAGTTCAACCATTGTGGAAGACAGTGTGACAATTCCTTAAGGATCTAGAACTAGAAATACCACTTGACCCAGCTATCCCATTACTGGGTATATACCCAAAGGATTAGAAATCTTGCTACTATAAAGACACATGCATACGTATGTTTATTGCGGCACTATTCACAATAGCAAAGAGTTGGAACCAACCCAAATGTCCATCAATGATAGACTGGATAAAGAAAATGTGGCACATAAACACCATGGAATACTATGCAGCCATAAAAAAGGATGAGTTCATGTCCTTTGCAGAGACATGGATAAAGCTGGAAACTATCATTCTCAGCAAAATATCACAAAGACAGAAAACCAAACACCACATGTTCTCACTCATAAATGGGAGTTGAACAATGAGAACACATGGACGTAGGGAGGGAAACATCACACACTGCGGCCTATTGGGGGGTGGGGGCTTGGGGAGAGATAGCATTAGAAGAAATACCTAATGTAAATGACAGGTTGATGGGTGGGGCAAACCAACATGGCACATGTATACCTATGTAACAAACCTGAACGTTGTGCACATATACCCTAGAACTTTAAGTATAATAATAAGAAAAAATTATCTGCATGCTCCTTCCAGTCACTGCACAATATTTGTGCATCTTTTTCTGGATTGCATTCATGTTGATGATTCAGAGTCATTAAAAATAGACCTGAAAATGTTTTTAGTCTTCTATTCTACTCATGAACAGAGATGTTGGACACACTTCAGTGTCCACCCTGAGCATATCTACCCCTTTTCTTGTTGGTGACAATTACATGTAATTTAGAATGAAACAATCCCAGGCCTGCATCCCTCGCTTTCTGGTCAGTGATCTTGGATCCATTAGTGTTAGATACGTCCCAACATCACATTTAGGTTTTTGGGTTTTTACTTTTTGTATTTTTTAGACGGAGTCTCGCTCTGTCACCCAGGCTGGAGTGCAATGGCACAATCTCAGCTCACTGCAACCTCTGCCTCCTGGGTTCAAGCGATTCTCCTGCCTCAGCCTCCTAAGTAGCTGCATTTACAGGCATGTACCACCACGCCTGGCTAATTTTTGTATTTTTCCTAGAGATGGGGTTTCACCATGTTTGCCAGGCTGGTCTTGAACTCCTGATCTCGTGATCCGCCCCCCTCGGCCTCCCAAAGTGCTGGGATTACAAGCATGAGCCACCGTACCTGGACCACACTTAGATTTTTATATGAGTGAAAATGAGGATAAAAATGTTTACTTTGGAGGATGAGTATATGGATTAAATGAAAACATATTTAAAAGCCCAGCATAAAGGTTGGCCCACATCAAGTACTCAAAACATGTAAGATAGTTTTGAATGCAGAAAAGTCACAAAAACCAAATGCGTTATCTGAATAAAAGAGGGACAATTTAGAATATTTGAAGCAAGGTCAGGAATGTTTTCTTTCTAAGTTGGTACTTGGTGTGCAGGTATGAACTTTTCCTTAATCTTCAACTCATCCATAAAGTTAGAAACTCCTCCTTAGATATAAAAAAGAGAAAGGGTTGGGAAGAAAGGGAATAAATGTGCCCCTCCATCCTCTACTATACTGTCATTTTGATTTAAATATCATCATTTGCATATTTTTTTATCTGAACTGAGAAAGGCCACCTTCTCACACCTAATCACCAGGAAGCAGCAGGCAGCAGCCTTGGAAGCTTTCATCAATATGCCAATTTTTATTTTAGTTTATAATTTAAAAAGTGAGAGTGAAGTGACAGAGATGGTATCATTTCAAAGTGTTTTTTTAAACATATTAAAAAGCACTCTTTTTTTTGACACTGAGTAGGAGGAGGAAAAACATGGAAATGAAGTGGAAAAATAAAACAAGAAGTAATCAGGATCCAGAGAAAGAAAAGGTGGCAATACCAGCCACCCCCACCTCCTTCTGCATGTACACAAACTATCAGAATGATTAAGGAACATAAGGTTAGAGGAAGCAAAAATAAAAAAGGGATGGGGCAGAGATTTAGAAATATAGAACAATGTCCCCAGTTTCATTGTTTCAGTTAAAATCATTGTGTAAAATATTTGTTAAAGTTGAATGCTTATAAAGTTAAACTAGATGTTAGACAATCTGACTCTTGGGGTAAAAGTTTCCAATGTGAAAAATAATAATTTTTATTTAATTTAAAATGCAACACAGAGTTAATATTTATTTGAAAGCAAAGTTTGAAGTAGGTACCTAGAAATTTAATGAGACTGGATAGTAGTGTGATAACATCTGTGAACTCTGTCACTTGTGAATAACCAGTATAATGGGCACATACAGCCACAATGTCAATTTCCTCTACAGGATCTCCATATGTGTTCAAAGGGACAAGACAGAATTTTATTTTCTCCCTATTTCCTTTTGTCCTCCCTCTTCACTGCTGGTGAGGAAGGTGTGTCTGTAAGACAGAGTCGAGTCAGGCACTTTTTTGGCATAATAACTCATCAAAGTAGTGCTATGTGATTTGGCCAACATTAGCAAGAAAAAGATACATTTGTCCTATAGATGCATGGCTCTGAAGATTAGACCTTTCAGAAACATCTACCAAAGAAGCACAGTAAAGACTTGCCACCCTCTTCCTGAATGATCTCATTCCTCAGGACCTTGGGGTGTACTTTCTTGGATGGAGCCAGCACCTATTGGCAGAACTGAAGATAAAAACAAATGACTAAGGAAAACATGAAGAAGTGTGAAAAGAGAAGGTGATCCATGGTTATATGTGCCCATTATACTGGCTATTCATAAGTGACAGAGTTCACAGATGTTATCACACTACTATCCAATCTCATTAAACTTCTAGGTGCCTACTTCAAACTCTGCTTTTAAATAAATATTAACTCTGTGTTGCATTTTAAATTCAATAAAAAGTATTATTATTCACATTGGAAACTTTTACCCCACGAGTCAGATGACCTTTGGCTCAAAGGAAAAAATAAAAGAGAAAGAAAATTTTTCAGCATTCTTGCGTCTCTACCAAATCCAACTGCACTCTGCATTCTTATCTGGCTTCATGTCTTACCATGAACTTCCCTTCTTCATGCCTCTACAGCATAACCCTTCTGGTCGCCCTTCCTTAATCTCATGTACTCTGTACTTAATTAAGTACTCATGTACTTAATCTCTGCCTCCTGTACTTATCCTTTAAATATCAGTGTTTCTCAAAGCCTTGTCTTGGTTCTTCTGTTTTTCTCACTCTTAGAAACTTCACAGGACAGTGCTTTCTAGGCCCATGGCACCAACTACCAAATACATCAGGTGACTAACACACACACACACACACACACACACACACACACACACACACCCCTCAGATGTTTCCTGAGCTCCAGGCATACATATCCAACTGCCTGATTAAACGCATACACACAGGCAATTCTGAAAATGAAAATGTTTAAAGCTAAAATTCTCTCCCTCAATACATTTATTCCTATTTATCAACATCCCAATAATTGTTCAAGTCTGATATTTAGTAATCTTTGATTCCACTTACTTCATCACCCCTGAAATCCAACTGGTAACTGAATGTCATGGAATCTAGCTCATAAATCTCTCAAATCTTTCTACTTCTCTTCATTGTTACTGTCACCACTGTCAGCAAGGCAACTTCATTTTCTCCTAGAGTGCTACAGTACCTTCCCAACTGGTCCCCTTTCACTGGTGTTGCTCTCCTCAAATCCATTTTCTACTTTGCAGTCAGAACAGTACTTCAAAATCACACAATTTTGCATGGCATTTGCCCTTATAAGTCTTCAGCAGTTTTTCACTTTATTTCTAATGTAGTCCAATCTCTTCGGCCACACACACACACACACACATACACACACACACACACACACACACACACCTGCCCTGATCACTTCTCCAGCCCCATCTCTAGCTTCTCTCTCACTCACAATATATTCAAGCAATAACAAATGCATTTTATGTCTTCAAAAATGCCATGTATTTGCTCTCTTCTTTGCCTTAATTACTTTTCTTCTTCTAGCAACTGGATATGTGTATAGCACTCAAAACAATGAAGTTTAGAGACAAGACTGGCTTCGCCACTTGTTAAGGGTTTTGTGACAGAGTTCCATACATGAAGTGGCCCTCATCTGCAGAAGGAACCAAGAAACCAAAGAAGGAGGCAGACAGGTCCAGCTTGTCCTCATATGGTGATTTTATTTGGGAACTGACAGATAGAAGTGTGGTCCTGAGCAGCCACAAGGGAGGTAGATCTCTGCATCATTACCCTCCAGACACAGAGGGTTGTGTATTTAATACAGCCAACACACTGAACATCATAGCTTAACCTGGCCTACCTTAAAAGTGCTCAGAACATTTCAATGGGCCTATAGTTGAGCATAATGTAACACAAGGCCTATTTTATAATAAAGTGTCGAACATATTATGTAAAGTATTAAATATTGTACTGAAGGTGAAAAATAGAATGTTTGTATGAGTATTTGAATGTATACCGCTTTGGTATGATCATAAAGTTGAAAAATAATAAGTCATGATGATAAGTCTGGGGCTGTCTGTACATTGTACCATGTTTTCACCTTGATTCATAAAAAGGTACAATCATACAGAGAGACAGACAGACAGGAAATCACTTCATTAAATAATAATGTAACAAAATACCTTTTAAAGTCACTGAATTATGTTTTGTTTATTGGTAAAAGCAGTATTAATACAAATTACTTGTAAAAGTAACATACCATAGAAACATGGTCAAAGATGGTAGGATGGAGAATGTTAGCTGCTCCCCACAGAGCCAATGAAAAACTATAAAACAAGAAGTGAAGAAGGAAAACAAATTTCTGTGAAGCAAATAGCCATAATTTCAATCCAAAACTTAGAAATAATGTTCCATAAAAGCATATTTGGGAACTGCTATGGTTTGAATATTTTTGTTCCCTCCAAAATATATGAATATATGTGTTGAACTTTTTTTCTTTTGTTTTTTGAGATGGAGTCTCGCACTGTCACCCGGGCTGGAGTGTAGTGGCACGATCTTGGCTCACTGCAACCTCCGCTTCCCGGGTTCAAGCGATTCTCCTGCCTCAGCCTCCCGAATAGCTGAGATTACAAGCGCGTGCCACCACGCCCAGATAATTTTGTAGTATTTTTAGTAGAGACTGAGTTTCACTATGTTGGTCAGGCTGGTCTCGAACTCCTGACGTCGTGATCCGCCTGCCTTGGCCTCCCAAAGTGCTGGGATTACAGGCCTGAGCCACCCGCCCGGCCATGTGTTGAACTTAATGGCCAATGTGATAGTATTAACAGGTGGGGGCTTTAAGGGGTATTTAATTCATGAGGGGTCATCCCTCCTGGATGGGATTAAGTGCCCTATAAAAGGGTTTGATGAAGGGAGGTAATTCCTTTTTTCTCTTCCACAGTCTGCTACCTGCAGACATAGCATTCCTTTCCTCTGGGGGATGCAGTGTTGAAGGCGCCATTTGGAAGCAGAAAGGAGCCCTCACCAGGTAACCAAACCTGATAGCACCTAGACTCTGGAACTATGAGAAAATAAATTACTGTTTTTTAAAAAAAATTACCCAGTCTGTGGTATTCTGTTATAGCAGCAAAAATGAACTCAGACAGAAATTGATACTAGGGAAGTAGGATGTTGTTATAACAAATACCTGTACGTGTGGAAACAGCTTGGAACCAGGTAATGGATAGAGGTGGAAATGGTTTTGAAGTGAATACTGAAAAAAGCCTGTATTGCCATGAACAGAACACTAAGGATGATTCAAGTGAGGGCTCAAAAGAAGAGAAGAGCTGTAGGGAATGCCTCGGTTTTCTTAGGGATTAGTTAGGTGGTCACGACAGTAAAGACTATTCTGATGAGGTCTCAGATGCAAATGAAGAGCAAGGTATTAGAAATTGGGGGAAAGGCCACCCTTGTTATAAAAGGAAAAATAACTTGACTGAATTATATCTATGTCCGAGTGATACGGACAGGAGGCGGGCAAATACTCGGTAGAAGAGGGCAGTCCCCGGCTACAGCCACATCTTCAAGCCTGGGACCACGGCCCAGAGTGAGAACATACATTCCTGTTTTCCTGCTTGAATGTTGCTTTTTGACCCACCCCCACCCCCTATACTGTACCCATAAAAATCCCAGGCTCCACTGGCAGAGGCGCGACAGAGTAGCTGAGTGGCAGAGTGGAACAGCAGAGGAGAGGAGAAGATGCTCCCGGATGTTGGAGAGAAGCCACTTAACTTCAGAGGGACGGCCTGACAGTGAGACCTCGGAGAACTGTCTGGCCGGAGAGGGCCGAACTCCAGGGGAAGACCACCTTCCTGCTCCATCCCCATTCCAGCTCTCCATCCTGCTGAGAGCCACTTTAATCGGCAACAAAATCCCCGATATGTACCATCTTCAATTCGTTCGTGTGACCTGATTCTTTCTGGACGCCCAACAAGAGCTCAGGATACAGAGAGCTGTCACACTGAGCTGCTGAACACTTCAGCTGTCCACAGAGGGCAAAGCTAAAAGAGCACACTGTAACACACGCCCTCGGGGGCTCCAGGGGCCGCACGTACTCCGTAGACCCTGCCGCAGGGCCTCACAGAGCTCTGCTCCTGCTGGAGCCCAGACGCACTAGTCTTGGCCCGTGCACCTGCTCACCTGTGTGCTTCCCCTCCCGTGAGGGGTTGAGAGCTGTAGACTGAGTAAACAAGCAAACCCCTTCACAAGTTCCGCGAAGGGGTCAAGGGAACTATCCCATTTCACTAGTACTTTGTGGAAGGAAAAACTTAGGAGTGAGGAGCTAGGATATCTGTTGGATGAAATCTCCAAGCAGCAAAGCATCCAGTGTGCTGTGTGGCTTAACTACCTGTAGTAAAATGTGAGAAGAATCAAATGATATAAAGATGCAATTTATAATGAAAAGAAAAGCAGAATGTAAAAATTTGCAAAATTTTTAGCCTGATCACGTAAAGAATAAAAAAAAAAGCAAGTTCAGGAGAGAAAACCAAGGGTGTGGCCAAGCAATTGTTTAATAAGAGGGTTAGTCTAGCTAGAAGAAAGCCAGGTGCTGTTCATCAAGACAATGGGAGAATGATCCTGAAGGCACTTTGAAGATCTTTGGGCTACCAGGGTGCTAGAGCCTTGAGGGCAGAATGGGTTCAGGGGAGGGTCCCAGGGCACCTGTAAGAACTTGGGGCTCACTGCCAAGGGTTGCCTCATGTTTCTGCTCCCTATATTCTAGGGCAGCACTACTCAGTCAACCTAGCTGTGGCTCAAGAAGGCTTAGATGCAACTCAAGCTGCCACTCCGAGGGGCACAAGCAGTCAGCCATGGCTGTATTCACACAGTGTTAACTCTGCAGGTGTACAAAGTGCAAGAGCTGTGGATGCAGGAATACCTCCACCTAGATTTTAAAGGATGTCTTGGACAGCCTCATAGCCTAGGTGGGTACTTGCTACAGGGTCAGGGTTGATTTGGAGAGACTCCATTAGGGCAATGAGGGGTCATCCCTCCTTCATGGAGCCATGGAGCCAGGCTCACTCTCAGAACTGTAGAGCCACCAGTGTGCAGCATCAGCTTGGGAAAGCCACGTGCATACGACTCTAACATGAAGAGCTGAAGCATGGGCTACACCCTGCAAAGCCATGGGGCAAGGTCCCCTGGAGCTTTAAGATGAAATGTTTGCCTTGCTGGGTTTGGACTTATTTGGGACCTCTTGCCCCTTTCCTTTTCTCCCGTAGCTCCTTTTTGGAATGGGAATGTCTATCCTATCCTGTCCTGCCCTTGTATTTTAGAAGCACGTAACATGTTTTATTTCATAGGCTCACAGCTGGGAGGAAATTTGCTTCAGAATGAATCATACCTTGAGTATCACCCTTATGATGTTTAGTTGAGTCTTTGGACTTAGACTTCAGATTGATGCTGGAACAAGCTAAGACTTTTGGGGGCTATTGGGATAAAACAAATATATTTTACACGTGAGAAGGACATGAATGTTGGGGGCCAGGGGCAGAATGCCATGGTTAGAATGTTTTTGTCCCCTCCAAACTTCATGTATTGAAATTTAATGGCCAATGTGATAGTACTAACAAGTGGGGCCTTGAAGAGGTGATTAAGTCATGAGGGCTACTACCTCTTATATGGAATTAGGTGCCTTTATAAAAGGACTTGATGGAGGCAGTTTATTCCTTTTAGTCCTCTTGCCTTCTGCCATGTGAGGACATAGAATTTCTCCCCTCTAAAGAATGCAGCATTCAAGATGTCATCCTGGAAAAAGAGAGCAGCCTTTACCCATCAACCAAACCTGCCGGTGCCTTGATCTTGGACCTCCAGGCTTCAGGACTATGAGAAAATAAATTTCTGCTCTTCATAAATTACTAAGTCTGTGGTATTCTCTTACAGCAACCCAAACAGACTAAGACAAAACCAAATTAAGAAAGATTTACTATAGCTGATCCAGGTTTCTATAGATGCCTCATAGGACACAGACTTCTTTGAAAGCAGATGACATGACCTGAATATCAAATAGCAGTCTCTCACCTGGAGTCCCTCCCATGTGGGCTGCAAGGCCATCTCATGGTCCTTTCTTTGAGAATAAGTAAAGCAAAAAGAAGATACAGACCACTCAGGTAGTTTTTATATGCCATCTCTTCAGGAAGCAAGTTAGATGAATTTCAGGGTGGAAAGTGGGCAGAGAATGATGAATCAGAAGCAGATAAAAACAGGTGGGTAAATGCTAAACTGCCACACGGAATATCTGTGCATTTGCCAAGTGTAATTGGGAGTTATGTGCATCTCCTGCTGATCAAAAAGGTAGAACCTAAATGAATAAAGATGGGCCACATGGCAGAGAATTTGGTAAATTTGATGAGGAAAACATTCTGAGAAAATCTACCTGATTTGGAGATTTTGTTTCCTAACTTATAGCTAATTTATGAAATGATAATTATAAAAACATTATGTATCACACCTAAGGACATAAAGAAAGCTGTACTTGAAAAATTATACAATTAAATTCTCACATCTTTTAAAAAGAAAGAATAAAAATAAATGAATTATTCAACTCAAGAAATTAGAGCAACAAAATACAATTAAGGGAAACAAAAAGAGTGTATTAATAAAGATAAAAGCCAAAATTAATACATTTGAAACTGAAAAACAAATCCAAAGACTGCTGTTTTGGAGGAAAAACACTGATACAGTACTAGATAACTCAGAAGATAAAATGAAAGAAAAATGCAAAACTCAAAATTAGAAATAAAACTGTGGACCTATTCACAGATATATGACACTGACAAATGTACAAAAATAACAAGAGATAGTTTTGCTTAAATCTATTGATGCTTCCAAAACTTAGGTGAAATGCAAAACTGACCCAGAATAAAAGCAATAATATAAAGAAAAAAATGATATGTGGTACCATTAAAAAGAGGATAAAATGGTAATGCACAGACTGGGAAAGGATGTTTGTAACACATTTACAAAGGGCTCAGAAATCATAATCAAAATTTATAAGGAACTCCTAAAATTAGTACAAAAAAAGACAATCCAATAGAACATTTGACCAAAAGATTTAGTAGAACTTCACATAAAAGGCTATCCAAATAGCCAGTACATATGTGAAGGGGTGTTCAATTCATTAATCATGTCAGAATTGCAAATAAAAACCATATTACACAGCAATATACTCAACAGAATGACTACAATTAAAAAGATAAAAATTACCAAAGGTTGATAAAGAACTGGAGCAGTTAAAGTCCTCATACACTGCTGGTAGGAATATAAATTTATATGCCACTTGGAACTGTTTTGCAGCATCCGCTATACCTGAATAAACACACACTTTGACTTGGCAATTCTACTTCCAAGTATTTACTTAACAGAAATACATTCACAGTTTAAAGAAAAACATACTGGAGTATAAAAAACAAAACTATTCATAACAGCCTGTAAATGGAAACTATCCGAAATGTTTATCAACAGAAGAATGGATAAATGTAATGTGGTATTTTCCCAATTCATGGACTACTATACAGCAATAAGAATAAATAAATACCCCAATATCAATTAATCTCTTAACTATAGTGCTGAGAGAAAGAACTTAGATGCAGAGTATGAATGTGATGTATATTTCCATTTGTATGAAGTTAAAAAAAAAAACAGGCAAAACTAACGATGGTAATAGATGTAAGAACAGGGGTTACCCTTAGTAATGGAGTAGCAAATGGTAAGGCAACAGAGGGTTTCGGAAGTACTGGGAAAATTCTGTTTACTCATCTGTATACTGGTTACAAATTTATGTTCAATGAAAATTTATTGAGTGATACCTTAATTAAAAAAAAAATTGACCCCAGAAGAGCTGGAGAACCCAGTAAGCTGTTTTGTATAGGGAAAAAAAAGGAGAAAAAAAGGAAAACTTTGTTTAAAAAAATAAATATATATATATATTCACTTCCTTTCTTGCACACCATCCCTAACTCCAGCCCAAAACAACAGCAAAAACCATTTTCATCATTGCCACTTAGGAAAAATGTCTCTGATGCTATTTAATTGCTTTTGAACACAGAGAAAAGAGCTTTCAATTTATCTTTATAAGGCCAGCAAAACATTGATAATAAAACTTGTCAAACTAGTGCCAAAAAAGATAGAAACCATAAGTAAATTTTATGGATACAAATGCAAAATTACTAAATAAAATATTACCCAATAACATGCAGCAGAACATGAACTAGGTTTCATAGCAGGATTGCAAGGTCGGTCCACATGAATACATCTATTAATACAATTTACCATAGTAAGAGGGAAAGTGTAAGAACATATTTTAAATGTTAAACATATATTAAAAATTATGCTCGACTTTCTCATTAGGTAAAATATCTAACTAAAATATGTAGATTATTTTATGTTGTGAGTTGGGATCATGTGTGCTTCCCGGCAATCTATTTTTTTTTAATTCAGGTAAAATTCACATAACTTAGATTTCACCATTTTTCCATTCTTTCCAAATTTATTGAGGCACAACTGACAAAGTTTTACATATTTAAGGTGTATATCATGATGAGTTTTAAAATATACAGTTCAGTTACATTTGTACTTTCAAAATATACAGCCATTGCCTCTCTCTAGTTCCAAAATATTCTTATACCCCAAAAGAAAACACATACCCATTAACCAGTCACTCCGCATTTTTCCCTCCTGATCTCTGGCCACACTAATCTGTTTTCTGTCTCTATGGAGTTGCCCATCTAGGATTTTTGTATTTAAATGGAATCATATAATATGTGACCTTTTCTGTCTAACTTCTTTCACTTAGCACAATATTTTTGAGGTCATTCCTGTTGTAGTAGGTGTCAGTACTTCATTTCTTTTGATGACTGAATAATTTCATTGTATGCAGATACAACATTTTATTTATCAATAGATAGACATCTGTGGTCTATCTCAACTTTTGGCCTCAAAAGCCAAAAGTTTCTACCTTTTGGCTATTATAAGTGGTGTTGCTATGTACATTATGTATAAGTTTTTTTTATTAAGATCTATTTTAGCCTGATAAGGCTGCCATAACAAAAATACCACACATTTGGTGACTTAAACAACAGAAATTTATTTTATCACGGTTCTGGAAGCTGGAAGTTCCAGATCAATGTGCCTGTAGGGCTGGTTCCTCCTGAGGTCTCTCTCCTTTTTTTTATAGACTGCCACCTTCTTGTTATGTCTTCAAATGGCGTCTGCTCTATGGCCATGCATCCCTGGTATGTCTCTCCTCTTATAAGGACATCAGTCATATTGCATTAGCACACACCCTTCTGATCTCATTTATCCTTAATTACATCTTTTTTTTTTTTAAGACAGAGTCTTGCTCTGTCACCCAGGCTGGAGTGCAGTGGTGCGATCTCTGCTCACTACAACCTCCACCTCCCAGGTTCAAGTAATTCTCATGCATCAGCCTCCTGAGTAGCTAGGACTACAGGTGAGCACCACCATGCCCAGCTATTTTATTTTATTTTATTTTATTTTATTTTATTTTATTTTATTTTATTTTATTTTGTTTTATTTTATTTTATTTTATTGAGATGGAGTCTCGCTCTGTTGCCCAAGCTGGAGTGCAGTGGCACCACCTCAGCTCATTGCAACCTCTACCTCCCGGGTTCAAGCGATTCTCCTGCCTCAGCCTCCTGCCAGCTAATTTTATTTTTGTATTTTTTAGTAGAGATGGGGGTTTCACTATGTTGCCCAGGCTGGTCTTGTACTCCTGAGCTCAAGCAATCCACCTGCCTTGGCTTCCCAAAGTGCTGGGATTACAGGCGTGAGCCACCACACCCAGTGATCTTAATTATATCTTTAAAGGCCTATCTCTAAATACAGTAGCATTGAGGATTAGGACTTAACCAATTAATTTTGTAGGAACATAATCCGATCCATAACAAAATCTCTTTCCAATTACCTGAAGCATATACCTAGGTGTGGAATCACTGGGGCATCTGGTAAGTCTGTGTTAAACTTTTTGAGGAATGGTCAAACTTTTTCTCAGTGGCTGCACCATTTTATATTCCCTTCTTGCAGGCAATGTATGAGGATTCTAATTCTCAAAATCCTCATCAATACTTCTTATTTCCCATTTTTTTGCTTTGTTTTTAAACTACAGTAATCTTAGTGTGCATGAAGTAGTATTTCATTGTGGTTTTGATTTGCACTTCCCTAATGACTAACTATATTGAACTTTTTTCATGTATTTATTAGACATTCGTATATCTTCTTTGGAGAAATGTCTATTCACATCCTTTGGCCATTTTATAATTGGGTGGTTTGTCTTTTTTTGTTAAGTTGTAAGAGTTAGATACTTTTTATTATTGCATTTTACACATGTATATATTTTACAAGCACATATGTAATAAACACATGCATACACACAGATATTATTTTCTATCAAACTGAAAGCCAGTATCATGTTTAGAGGTGAAATATTTAGATGAATTCCCATTAAAGTTAGTATCAGGTAAAGGATGTACAGTACCACAACTATTATTTAACATTGTTCTGAAAGTAAAAATCACTGTGGAATAGACAAGATAAACAAATAAGGTCTGAACTAACAGTAAATTGGATGCAACATTGTCATCATTTAGAGATGCTATGTTTATGTTTCTGGAAAACTGGAGAAGAACAGAGGAGTCCTGAAAGTACAGAGGATTGCACAAACATTTCTGACATTAGCCGATGCAAGAACTGGACCACCGGTATCCCCTAGTACTAATTTCACTAGAGAAACTCACATGAATTTGATATTTTCTCCAAGTTTTCAGAAGCTCCTGACTCAAGAGCTATTTGGAACTCTGATTTGATTGCCTTATCAATTAATATATTGTTCTCTTTACAGATGGCTGTACAGTCATCCAGAAGAATTAAAGGTAAAATTAACTTGCTATGGCAAGATTTAAAATAATTTAGAATTATGAAAGAAAAGAAATGCATCATAGAAACAACCTAACAGTATTGATTATTAAACATATAAAAAGAAGGTAAGAATGTCAGAGGAAACAGTATGGTTGCACAGTTATGAATTTTTAGGTTACGTTTAATTGTACTAAGTTTGCATGTTTGATTTAAGGCATTATCTTCTTCTAAGACATTATCTTTTGCAAGGCTAACACTGTTTTTTGTTTGTTTTGTTTTTTGTTTATTTTTTTGAGACAAAGTTTTGCTCTGTCATCCAGGCTGGAGTGCAGTGGTGTGATCTCGGCTCACTGCAACCTCCGCCTCCCGGGTTCAAGCAATTCTCTGCCTCAGCCTCCTGAGGAGCTGGGGCTACAGGCACCCACTACCATGCCTGGCTAATTTTTTGTATTTTTAGTAGAGATGGGGTTTCACCACTTGGCCAGGCTGATCTTGAACTCCTGACCTTGTGATCCACCTGCCTCAGCCTCCCAAAGTGCTGGATTACAGGTATGAGCCACTGCGCCCGGCCACTAATACTGTTAAATAGGAGGTAGATAGTGGTACTTACCTATCACTTAGTCACCTAGTGACTGTCACTTAGTCACTAGGACTTCTCTGCATGTACTTGTTTCTGGCTTTTGACTAGAATCAGCCAAGAATCTATTTTAAAATACCTGTGCACAGACTCTATCCCCAGAGGGTCCTATTTAGTTGGATTAGGCTGGGGTCAAGTTACTGGTCGTTTTAAAAGTATCACAGGTGATTCTAATGTACAACCAAAAATCTGAGCCACGTAATCAAAGGACCTAAATGAACTATGCTCTCCACTGTTTCTCTATTTAACTTCTCTTCTATGTCAAGTCTAATTTCTTCTGTCACTTAAAGCAAGCTATGAAATACTGGACTTTTATACCATCTTTAAACCAAGTATCTCAAATGTCTTTTATATTTTTCCAAAATGTGAATTATTTAAGTTTCATAAATCTGTGAGGAGGAGAGTGAGTACTAATAAGGATCCATTCACTCATCCTCAGAGTGGCTCTAGCAGATATCTAATAGTAATGGCAGAACTAGCACTCAGATATAGAGTACAGTGCTGTATTCAAATACAATTGTTGGAGTAAATTTAGAGAAGCAAAAAATAATTAAGTTGCATTTGGATTTGGCCAAGGGCCCATGAGTTAATACTTGAAAATTAGATGCCTAAAATAAACCTTCAATATTGACAAGCCATCTCGATCTTGACTTTATGTATTATCCAAAACTCATCACACCCTTAGTAGACAAAATGTCCCTGTAAATGAAAGGAATATTCATTTATTCACTTATGGTACAGCCTCAAGTGAACTAGTTATGCTAGATAAACAATAAAAATATAGATCCATGCACAGACTTGTTTAGTAATGACACTGATTGCTGGGAAATCAGATATTCTCCAGTCATCTTCCAGTCAACACCATAAGAATTTCAATTTAATGTAATCACAAACCACGACAAAGTCATCACATGAATACACACACACACAAACACACATACACACGCACACACACACCCCTACCTTTGTTTTTCTTCAAAAAAACAAACAAAACCAAAATTTGAAATTCACCTTAAGAAAATACTAATCATAGTAATCCTTTAAAAGAACGCTTCATGGACAAATTGTAACAAAAATAAAAGATACATTTCTCAAAGAATTTTTACCTTTTTCTTCCCCGATTTACTCACTGCCTGGAGCTTGATCCTTTTCAAGGGTGAACACTTAGGAGTCTTTAGTCACAAATCCACATTAGCTGTTGCATTAAAATGGGGCACCTTTTATGTATGCTACTGGAGGCTTGCCTTCCACCCAGTAGTTAGAACATGAACCCCTATGTTTCTTCATCAACAAAGGCAGCCCTGCTCAGAATATTACTGTCTTCAGTTAGCAATTCACCTCAGAACTTGCTGTCATTCCAAGGTCATTGAGATATCGGCGTGCAACAGAGCCAACGACAGTTTTACAAGTTTCTGTCTTTGAGAAAGAACTCCACGTCTGTGTTACCTCTGACTGAGGGGTTCCCTCTGTCAGCTTTATTGACAATTATTGCCAATTTAGGGATGCCATGCTATAAGACAAGGACAGATTATGATGCTACTTCTAAGACCCATCCCGCCTTATTTTATGAGACTGATTTTTGGCGTCAAAAGCCAATTTCTTGCCTACTATTTATTCAAATTTGCCATTTTTCCTCAAAGGAGTAGCTATGCTGAATATTGGCTCACTGAGATCCCATGGGAATCAAAATACTGGGAAGTTGTAGAGCAGACGTTGTATTAGATTTTCCTGGTTGTGAACAACACAAACTTACTTTGGTACAGTTCTGGGGAAAAAAAGATTTAGGAAATGTGTATTGAGTGCTTTTTATATACATGCCCCAGGAAAGACAGGAAACCAGGTATCTCCCAGGATCTGGTTTGCAGAAAATTTAAGGTGATCTCATTATGGTCCTACCATACAAGCCATTGGCCTTCAGCCATTTTTTGCCTCTGGATAAATCAGATTTCCCAATGGACACCAGAATGCTACACCTTTAAGCAGTCTCATTTTAGTCTCTCCACAACCCTAAGTTACTACAGGTATTATGTCCTTCACACTTGATTGGAATTTTCCAGATCACCTGACAAATTGGGACCAGAACTATACTCCAAACTAAATCTCCTTAATCTAGATTTTATGTTTTTTATCTTACCATATTTTCTATGACAAAGAAAAAAATTGCTGGAAAGACACTCAAGTGAATCTTGTAGTTCCATCATCTTCTCCCAGGAGTTTGCTGTAAACTATTGAAAATGCTATAGTAAGGGCAAGAAGAATGACAGGAAATCCATGACTTTTCCAACGGCCTGTATTGGATGTAAAAAAGGATGGCTTTGGGAATTTTATAATCTCAAGTAGAATTCTGGCTTTTTCTCCTATTAACCGCCTGACCTTGGGCACCTTTCTTGCTTCTGTAATATAAGAATAGAAATACCTAATTACAGTCTTGAAGGAATTAAATACAGCGACATAAGTAAATCTCCTAGCAGAGTGAACCTAAGTGTATTAGTCCATTCTCACACTGCTATGAAGAAATACCCTAAGCTGAGTAATTTATAAATAAAAGGGATTTAATTGACTCATAGTTCTGCATAGCTGGGAAGGCCTCAGGAAACTTGCAATCATGGCGGAAGGCACCTCTTCACAGGGCAGCAGGAGAGAGATGTGTAGAGTGAAGGGAGGAAAAGCCCCTTATAAAACCATCAGATCTCATGAGAACTCACTCATTATCATGAGAACAGCATGGGGGAACCACCCCCATGATCTAATTACAATTTGAATTACAATTCAAGATGAGATTTTGGCTGGGAACACAGCCAAACCATATCACTAAGTGGCTTTAATAAAATAGAGGAAGAAAGAGAAGTAGAAATTAATAGAAACTTGTAAAAGAAATAATAGAAATAGGTGGAAAAGATGGAAATAGAGGAACTCATCTAGGGAATATGTGTCACAAAACCATAGGCTTCTGAAGTGGGAAGATGATATACAATAGCGATAATCAACAGGTCCAATGGGGTTTGACCGTAATGCCATCTTTTGACTGGCCTTTGAAGAAGTAGAGGATATATAACATAAAGTCCATTTCAAGAAGCAAAAGATAGCTGATGGGGGATTTGGCACTGTGATTATTCACCAAGGAGGAGATGAGATTCCACACTACGCCAGAGATGGAAATATCACCTTAACAAGCATGGACAGCCCCCAATGGACTATAAAATTCATTTGGTGGCTGTGATAATTCAAAAGAGCCAGGTGGTATATCAGTAACAAGGGAAGACATAAATTTTAATTTATGAGGCTCATAAGTGTCCTGGTCAGAAAGGGACAAACCCTCCACTCTCCAGCTCAGTAATCCCGTCTAATGGGAAGAGAAAGCATTTTGAAATGATACTCATCAGTACCAGAGAACACTTTTTAAAAATTAGTTCATATGGGTGTGTGAGTGTATGTGCATGTGTATATGCAATTGGAGGCTAAATTCTTGAAAGGGTAGTTCAGGTGGGAAACAATCAGTAAATTCTTGAATTATACAGAAACTCACACTTCGTATCCTCAAGGGAATTGTTTCTTTATGAAAGTCTGAGGGCTTTATTACTGCCTTCAGTAAGTGTAGGGCCGACCAGACTCTGTGGTCTGCAGGGAAAAGAAAACTTGCTTATGTAATACAAACATGGCTCTAAAATGAAAACACATTTTCCTTTACTAACACATCCTAAAAAGTAATTATATTTTTGAGAAGATACATAAAATGTGGCAGGCACAATTCATGAATTTGCTAAGTATTCTTTGCAACAGACTCAGTCCATGCTGCTTCATATAAAACAGACCTTCCTATGTAAAATATTGTACACCTACACAAGTATCCTGTGTGTCTGAGAATCTAGCATATTGCCTGAATTAAGCATCTGCTCAATAAAGTTTTAAACAGCGACTTGGTCCTGTTTAGTCTACTTTTTAAAACATGGCTTATACCTTCTCTATAGTCTCCTATCTCTTGCTCCTCATATTTAAAATATGTAATATATGTGAATATATTTGGCAAGACAGTAAAGTATAAATATACATACTTATACTCTGTTACGTATATACACATATATACTTATATGCTTTCTATATTTATACAGAGCATATATATAGTACATACATTCATGCATGGCTTAATGATGGAAACACATTCTGAAAAATGCATCCTTAGGTGATTTCGCCATTGTGCAAACATCACAGGGTGCACTTACACAAACTTAGATGGTATAGCCTGCTACATGCCTATACCACAGAGACTATTGCTCGTAGGCTACAAATCTATATGGCGTATTGAATAACATAGGCAATTGTAACACAACAATAAGTATTTGTGTATCTTAAACATATCTGAATAGAAAAGGTAATACATTGCACTACTTTACAATGGCTGTGACATCACTAAGTGATAGGAATTATTCAGCTTCATTATAATCTTATTTATGGTGCCATAGTGGTATATATGGCTCACTGTTGATGCAAATGTCATTATGTGGTGCTTGACTATATAGAATATATGCTTTCTCTCTATTTACTTATACTCTACTCCACTGTCACCACCTTAGCATAGCCATTGCCATCTCTGCCCTAAACAGCTGCAATGATATCTAACCATCAGACCCCAGTCTTACCATCATTCAGACTGGCCCTCACACTTGCCTCTAGAGCTGTCTTTCTTAAGCACAAAACCACAAAAAATAATATTGCCATTTGTTTCACCACAGATTTATTTCTATGTCCTCATCCCATGTTCCATTTCCACCTACCTAGCTATATATTGCATCATAGCATTTGCCAGAACATGGTAATGTATGTTTGTTTGTCTGTTTGGTTTCTTTTTAATTTATTTATTTTTTCTGAGACAGAGTCTCCCTATGTTGCCCAGGCTGGTCTCGAATTCCTGGGCTCAAGGGTATCCTCCTGCCTTGGCCTCCCAAAGTGGTAGGATTACAGGTGTGAACCACCACGCCCAACCTGGTTTCTTGCTTACTATTATTTTCCTCTTCATATAATGTAAGCTCAGTGAAAGTAGGAACTTAATATTTTTGCTTCTCTATCATGAGGGCTTGGAACAGGGCCTGGCACTAGTAGGGGTGCAATGCATTTTTTTTTTCAGTAAAAAATGAATATAACCTGGGTAGAGCATATTGTCTTGGCACAGAACAAGCAATCAAAAAGTCTTTGTTGAATAGATGAATGAACACATGAACATATTAAAACTGAAAATACGTTAAGGAGTTTTCAGATTTGTGAAGAAGTAAAAACTAGTCTTTGGGTCCCTAAATCTCCTCTCTGTATTCTCTCTCCTCCTCTCATTCAGACTAAGGCATTGTAGTTAATGATAAAATAGAGTCTGCATGAATTTTCAGCTTAGGTAAGATGCAGTAGGGCCTCTTCTGCCCCTTAAGCTCATCCTGGTTACAACATGCCTTTACTCTCCACTCCCTTAAAAAACTGGCATGAAGCAGAAATTAATAAATTGATGTTATACTGCTGATATGTGTAATCAGTTAACACTCTGCCTACTCATTCATTTCTGGGCTTCTTCCAAAAGCTCTAAATCTATCAGACAGTGGGGAACAACTGTGAGACTATTATCCAAATGATTAAAATGAAAATAAAAAGATTTCAAATAGAAAAGCAGAATATTCACAAGACCTCCCTCTCTTTTCTTAGGCCATTATATTTATATTTCCAGAGCATACTTCACAAGAAATGTAAGTAGGAGTCTTGATGAAAATGTTTTAAAAATCAATTTTTCTAAAGCTAAAAATCATGAAAGTGTTACCTTATATCTATGCTGTTTGAAAGAGATTTCTCCCTTTTTTTGAAAGAAATATTAGTGGAAATCCTCCAGGATCAATTACCTAAGATATTTCTCATCCTTGCTACCACAATAGTCCTTCTGTTTTCAATTTTATGATTATACAGCATTTTTAGTAGTTTTCTCAGTGCATCAGAACTTATGAAAATAAATTTTTTAAAATGTTAAAAGAGGCAAATAGCTCTAAAACAATTGACCATTTATTTATTAAGAAAATATTTATTGAGTGTGTACTGTATCAGGCACTGTTCTAGAGGCTGTGGATATAGCAGTGAACAAAGAAGTCACACTTATACCTCATACATATGTGTGTATAAATGCACATATATATGGTGTGTGACACATCTATATGTATATACACATTTATATAGACATACATATATACACCTGTATGGTGTGTGGGGGGTGTGTGTGTGTGTGTGTGTGTGTGTGTGTGTGTGTATACATACACATAAAGACAGTGTAAGTATAAACATTCTAGTTGGATGAAGGAGGATGTACGTGAATGTAAAACAACACTTTAAAAAAGTTAAACATAGAGTATGTTAAATGGATTTAGATGCTATAGAGCCGAAAAACAAACAAACAACAACAACAAAAAACACAGGGAACGGTGATAGGGAGTGTTGAATGTAGGATGGGCCAATGTTAAATGAAGTGACCAGGAAAACCTTATTAAGAAGGTATGATCTAAGTAAAGACTGCAAAAAGGTAAGGAAGGAAGCCAAGCAGATAGCTGAAGGAGAGACTCAGATGCCACACTCCATCCTTTATTCCATCGGTACACTTAAAAACACACCCGTACATGCTATGTTACTTATGGCAGGGAGTTCTGATGGAGGGCATAATAATTTATTTAAAGAGCTAAAGATGTATTTTGAAAGTTTAACTTCTCTTCTCAAACTTATAGTCTCCTTCTTTTACTTCTGACCAATTCACTTTTCTTATTTTATCTACATTATTTCTTCTTTATTGCTATTATTTTTTATTTTTATATAATAAATAAATTAAAATCTTTCAATGGATCTGTCATAGGATTGGTTCCACTGTGCAATAACCAAGGACTTTATTGCATATTTGTTAGAAAATCATGATTTTCAGCACAATTAAAAGTGTTCAAATTGCTCAGGACCCAGAAATAGGTGGTAAGTTTGAACATTAGCTGCTCTTTCTTCCCTGAAGCTAGCTCTGTTTCTTCTCTTAGTATTTTTAAAGGAAATATATAGGCATTATTTGAAGTTAGTTATTAGCTTTAGGCAGCTTGTTCAGGCTTACATGCTCCCATGTGGAACCCTTGCAATAGTCAACGTGAAACTGACCAAGGTATACCAAATCATTTGCAAAGAGAAGGTCTGATATGGTTTAGCTGCAAACAGACAAAAACAAACAAATAACAACAATAAAAAATAAGACTCATGGAATGACTGATTATTTGAATCGGAAGGGACTGAAGGTAATCTCTAATGCTAAAATTTATCCTTGTAGCACAGACAGGTATAGTAAGGCAAGGCATGAAAGGTGAGTGGTATGCCAAAATTATAGCCAAGAGGAAAATAAAGGTATCGGCAAAGAAGGGGGAAAATGTGGCAAGAGGTTGATGAAAATAGGCTATTATCATAAAAGGAATGGAAGTTGATGATGTTAATGCAGTATAAAGTAGATTTCATTTAGAAAAAATTGAAAAGGATGGCCTGCTGAAAAAAAAAGACAATGCAGTGATGTACAAAACTTTATTATGTTATTATTCTGTGCCATCATCCTAACCTCAATGGCACTCCTCTGACCTTTTTGTTCTCAAAGCATGACTTCTCTACTGTTCCTTCCCTGTGCAAACACCTTTGCCCTCCAGCCAGCTGCCCAAGCAAGAAACAAGAATTATCTTTGACTCTTTCTTTACCTTTACATCCCACATTTCCATCAATCCTATTCTAGATGAAGCAGCCATCTCCTGGATTTTGAAACATCTCTTTTGATCTTCCTGCTTCCATTTTTGCATGATTCCCTAACACCAATCTATGTTTCATAATGTTGTAAGAGTCACCTTTCTAAAGCCCAAATCAGATCACATTCTACTCATTCTTAAAACTGTCCAACAGCTACCTATGAATTTCACAATAGAACCCAAATGTCTAGTGTGGTCACACCAGGCTTTTCTTAAATGTCCTCTTGTTGTCTCCTAAAAATCAACTTTTGCCACTCTCATTACATACACTGAACAGTCCATTCCTGTTTAGTTTTCCACTTCCCAGAATGGCCCGATTCCTTGCTTTGACCACCTCCTGTACTCCCTTTCAAAGCTCAGCTCAAGAATCATCTCTTCCTCAAAGTCTTTTTTGTCATTCTCCAGGCTCGCGAAGTAACTGCTCTACATTGCCCCACATTTTCCACGTATCTGTCTTTAAGAAGAGGAACTGTGATGTTTCTTTCTTCATCTCCATGCCCCAGAATAGGCCTGGTAAATAGCAGGCAAAAATTAACTTTGTTGAATGAATGAATAAATGCATTCTAGACAATTGATTGGGCACCTGAATTAGAAAAATAAGATAAGGTGACTACTTTCAAGGAGCTCACAGTTCATCATATTTGGCTGTGAGTGTCTCTAGTAGTTTATACAATGATTTAAACTCCTTGAGTAAAGGTATTTTTGAGTTATGATTTGAACAACTCTAATACTACATTTGTACCTAAATTTTAAAAAGCTTGTTTATTTGTTTATTTCTGAGTTGCACTTGAACTACATTTGATACTATATTACCAAATTTAAACCATCTGCCCCTCCTTTCAATTACGTGAAAGGAGCAATGACTTACAGGAACTGTAAATGTATTAAAAATGTCAAAACCACTTTATTTATATAGCAACATAAAAATGTAATTCAGGTACTTTAAAAAAAAATGACACAGACTAAGCAGAGAAGATGAGCCGGAGGGGATTACTTAGTGATCAAAAACTCAGCTCTGCAATATCTCCAACCTCAGCTTCAAATCCAGCCTGGGTCAAGACAACCTGTCATTCTCCAGAGACTGAACACTGCCTATCTCATAGTTCACTATGTGTGTGTTTTTGATATTTCTTGAGGACTCCATGTACTTATAAAACCTCATGGAATTTTCTTATAAATGATAATGCTGTCCCTAATAAGCTTAGCCAAATTCAGAGAACTCCTTGATATATAACTGTCAGCTTTGGATAATGCCCTTGGGTTGTTAGCCATTCTATAAAAATCAAATTCAGTTCAGAACTTCAGTTTGCCAGAAAGTTACCTCGTGCCACTTTCTTCCCCACACCCAGTGCTCCATAACAAAATCAGTGTCTAATTACTATTAACTGACTTTGCATGAGTAACAATCTGTTTCTTAAACCCAGTGAGAAACAGGTGTTTGACTTTTGAAGTATACAGGGAAATGACCTGATAATATTCTCTCTTATAAACTTCTAACTTTTTTGCACCATCCACAAATGACAATACAAACAGAACAGAAGACATCTGCATAGTTTGGAAAATTTGTGATTGATAAGGCATTATCTTGTCATTTGAAGACATTTGCATGACAAGTATTTGTGATATAAGGAGGTTTCCAGTTATAGAGAAATCGAGTTTGGTCTGATAAAAGACTTCAAGATTCCTAATACCATTCCCTTCAGGGCAAGAGGATTAGTGCTGATATTTTTAGAAGACTATCTTATTATATTCTGAATCCAGTATTAAGAGGGAAAAGAAATTTGGCTCTCAGTATACCAACACATACACGCACACACACACATACACATATACACACATTTACAGGAATCTGAGTGAGCAGAGAGAGAGGAGCTGATGAATATGGACAGGGAGGACCATTAGGTTTCAAGGGAACAGAAGCAGAAAAATTAACCAGTCGTTTGACTGACTCACAAGTGATATGACAAGTGATGAAGGTGTGTGTTGCAGCCTTGAAGGAGCTTTTAGCCACACGCAAACAAAACCATACTTAACGCTAAGCCAAACATGTGACCTTAGAGGAGAGATGGAGAATCTTAAAGGTAGGCAATATCAATGGGAAAAATTGAATTTCAGGCCATAAGAGTGCTTGGAATCCATCTGACAGAGTTTTCCTGCGGCTTTTTAAAGAAATAACAAAGCAAGGAACTCTTTGGAAAATCACAACCATCTAAAACAAAAGATATTCACATTGTTTCCTCAAGTACTCTAACTGATTTCTGAAGAAGATTTTGAATAATAGTAATCTGAGTGTCACTTGCCATGTTATGAAGACTGAAGAGACGGTGTAGAAATAGAAACTTTTACTCACTATGGTCTTTATTTAGGTGGGAGACAGCTGAGTCAAATCACACTGCTGTCCTTGGGCACATAACACATGAAATCAAGCTAACGCTCATCTTGGGTAGAAACTTTTGAGAAAAAGCATAAGGGCAATGTGGAGTTCAGGAAGCATGGTAGAAAACCTTGAATTGGGGATGGATTGAGAAGGACTGTACTCATGAGTGCAGGCATGTACACATGTTCTCTGGACAAATCCATGAGCCTGTGTACTTGCCTGTGACCCTCACGTTGTGGTTTTGTTTTATAAGAATTTTATTTAGTATCAGCCATCTTCTCCCTGCTAGTTTAGTTTCCATCTTCCTATCGATGTAATAATAGGCATGGCTGGTATTTGTAACATCCAAGAAATTGCTTGATTTGCATATAGTAGGCAGATAAATGGCCTGCCAGAAATATCCACATTCTATTTCCTGGAATTTGTGAATATGTTACTTTACATGACCACAGGGATCTTGCAGGTGTAATTAATTAAGAATGGGGAGATTATTCTAGGTTATCTTGAATTACATTGGTGGGCCCAGTGTAATCACAGGGGTCCTTAAATGATGGAAGAGAGAGGTAGAAGAGTCAGAAAAGGAGATGTGACAACAAAGGTAGAAGGTCAGAGTGATGTGGGGCTGAAACAAGAGAATTCCATGACTCTCCTCGCAGGACGTGACAGGGGTGTGGCTTGCCTGTTAGGCATGCTCAAATCCCTTATGGGAAGGGGAGCATGCAGGCAGGCAGGTGCAGGAGCTGGGCGAGTGCCCCTGGGTTCTGGCCCCACGGCAATGTCCAGGAGTGGATGTCTGCCACTTCAAAGCTCAAGTGGGCATTATGTTACAGTGTGCTCTTTTAGCCTTGCTGTCCGTGGACAGCTTAAGCGTTAATCAGCTCAGTGCCCTCTTGGTACTTGGACCCTTGTTTGGCATCTAGGAAGAATCAGGTCACACACAGACTTGCAGGATGGTAAATGCAGGGGTTTTATTGAGTGGTGGAGGTGGCCCTTAGCGGGATGGATGAGGATGGAGTGGGAAGATGATCTTCCCCTGGAGTGTGGCCATCCAGTGGCAGCTCTCCTCTCCAACCGCCCCCAGCTGAACTCCTCTGGGCATTCAGATGCTCCTTCTCTTCTCTCTGCTGCACCGTTCTGACATTCTTTTGCTCTTCTGTTCATCTTCTCATCAGCCTTCTGGAGCCTGGGGTCTGAGGTTTATATGGGTACAGGACAGGGGAGTGTGGCAGGCCAAGAGGCAACTTTTGGGTGCAAAAACAGGAATGCCTGTTTCTATTAGATTGTGGGTTTCCAGTCTTGAGGGTGGGGACTTTGCTGGGGAATCACCCTCTTCTACCCAGTATTTCCCTGTCTCCTGTCCACATCAGGGCCACAGGCCAATGAAAGTAGGCAGCCACTAGAAGCTGCAAAAGGCAAGGCAACAGATTCTCCTCCCTACCCTCCATACAGAGGGTACTGCTGACCAGTTTCAGGCTTCTGGCCTAGCATGTAAAATTATAATTTTATATTGTTTGAAGCTACAGAGATTGTGGCAGTTTGTTACAGCAGCAATAGAAAACTAATACACTGGGTGAGCCTCTTCTCAGATATTCTTCCACAAGAGTATCACACTTTGACCATTCATTTTCTTAGCTCTCATTTGTTCATTCATTCTCATTTTCCTTGTGTTGAGCACTGACTGTATTCTACTCACTCTTCAAGGAGCTGAAGAGATGAATATTTGGATCCCCTCTTTGAGGAGCTTACAATTGAATGGGAGTAGATATAATATTGTAGGAATAAGTATAGAAGTATGCCCAGTCTATGGAATGGGATGCAAGAGAGAGGAAGTTCAGTCATGCTTAGGAAGATGATTATAAGACAGGGATGCCCTCTCTAACTACTCCTATTCAATATAGTGTTGGAAGTTCTGGCCAGGGCAATCAGGTAGGAGAAGGAAATAAAGGGTATTCAATTAGGAAAAGAGGAAGTCATATTGTCCCTGTTTGCAGATGACATGACTGTATATCCAGAAAGCCCCATTGTCTCAGCCCAAAATCTCCTTAAGCTGATAGGCAATTTCAGCAAAGTCTCAGGATACAAAATCAATGTACAAAAATCACAAGCATTCTTATACACCAATAACAGAGAGCCAAATCACGAGTGAACTCCCAGTCACAATTGCTTCAAAGAGAATAAAATACCTAGGAATCCAACTTACAAGGGACGTGAAGGACCTCTTCAAGGAGAACTACAAACCACTGCTCAATGAAATAAAAGAGGATACAAACAAATGGAAAAACATTCCATGCTCATGGGTAGGAAGAATCAATATCATGAAAATGGCCATGCTGCCCAAGGTAATTTATAGATTCAATGCTATCCCCATCAAGCTACCAATGACTTTCTTCACAGAATTGGAAAAAACTACTTTAAAGTTCATATGGAACCAAAAAAGAGCCCTCATTGCCAAGTCAATCCTAAGCCAAAAGAACAAAGCTGGAGGCATCACCCTACCTGACTTCGAACTATACTACAAGGCCACAGTAACCAATACAGCATGGTACTGGTACCAAAACAGAGATATAGATCAATGGAACAGAACAGAGCCCTCAGAAATGATGCCGCATATCTACAACTATCTGATCTTTGACAAACCTGACAAAAACAAGAAATGGGGAGATGATTCCCTATTTAATAAATGGTGCTGGGAAAACTGGCTAGCCATATGTAGAAAGCTGAAACTGGATCCCTTCCTTACCTCTTATACAAAAATTAATTCAAGATGGATTAAAGACTTAAATGTTAGACCTGAAACCATAAAAACCCTAGAAGAAAACTTAGGCAATAGCATTCAGGACATAGGCATGGGCAAGGACTTCATGTCTAAAACACCAAAAGCAATGGCAACAAAAGCCAAAATTGACAAAGGGGATCTAATTAAACTAAAGAGCTTCTGCACAGCAAAAGAAACTACCATCAGAGTGAACAGGCAACCTACAGAATGGGAGAAAATTTTTGCAATCTACTCATCTGACAAAGGGCTAATATCCAGAATCTACAATGAACTCAAACAAATTTACAAGAAAAAAACAAACAACCCCATCAACAAGTGGGCGAAGGATATGAATACACACTTCTCGAAAGAAGACATTTATGCAGCCAAAAGACACATGAAAAAATGCTCATCATCACTGGCCATCAGAGAAATGCAAATCAAAACCACAATGAGATACCATCTCACACCAGTTAGAATGGCAATCATTAAAAAGTCAGGAAAACAACAGGTGCTGGAGAGGATGTGGAGAAATAGGAACACTTTTACACTGTTGGTGGGACTGTAAACTAGTTCAACCATTGTGGAAGTCAGTGTGGTGATTCCTCAGGGATCTAGAACTAGAAATACCATTTGACCCAGCCATCCCATTACTGGGTATATGCCCAAAGGATTATAAATCATGCTGCTATAAAGACACATGCATACGTATGTTTATTGTGGCACTATTCACAATAGCAAAGACTTGGAACCAAGCCAAATGTCCAACAATGATAGACTGGATTAAGAAAATGTGGTACATATACATCATTGAATACCATGCAGCCATAAAAAATGAATGAGTTCATGTCCTTTGCAGGGACATGGATGCAGCTGGAAACCATCATTCTCAGCAAACTATTGCAAGGACAAAAAAACCAAACACCGCATGTTCTCACTCATAGGTGGGAATTGAACAATGAGAACTCATGGACACAGTAAGGGGAACATCACACATCGGGGTCTGTTGTGGGGTGGGGGGAAGGGGGAGGGATACCATTAGGTGATATACCTAATGTTAAATGACGAGTTAATGGGTGCAGCACACCAACATGGCACATGTATACATATGTAACAAACCGGCATGTTGTGCACATGTACCCTAAAACTTAAAGTATAAAAAAAAAAGAAACCCTCTTAAATAAAAATTTGAAAGGTACTTTCTTGGTTATCAAGTGGAGAAAATAAGAGAAAGAAGGGCATTATAGGGGAGGAATATGTGAAAAATTCCAGATGCTGAAACAGCTGGATATGTTCTGGTGGAATTATAGGATATAAGTATCTATGCTGATGGAGACAAAACTGGAGGCCCAGATCAAGAATATAGGGTCTGGACATTTTCTCATGACTGATGGAGAAAATAAGAATAGTATAAGTTTTAGATCTATGTTTTAAGAAACTGGGTTGGTGGAAAGTCATTCAGGAAGATGAGTCAAAATGTAAAAGGGTATTGCAATAGTCTAAGCTAAAGGTAATGCCAAGCCAATCTAAAGCAGCAGCATAAGAGATAAAGATACTGAATCAAGAAATATTACGAAGATAGAATCCACTGGATTTGATGATTGACTGGATGTAATGGGAGGTGAAAGGGAGGAGTTTAGGATGAAATCTGAATTTAAGGCTTAGGTGCTACTCTCTAGAAGAGAGGTGGAAGGAGGAGAACCAGTTTGGTGAATACAGATAATGGTTTAATTCATATATGCTATTCTGTTTTACATCTTCTTTGAGATTCTCTCTAACTGTATTATGTAATAATATATACATTGTATAGAGAGGAAAAACCATATGTTCTATAGCTTTAGCATTTCCTTTGCCTATGATAATGCTAAGCACATGAAAATTCTTGTTGAATTGAAAAGAATGCTGTGCTCAGCAAGAAAGATATGTGTTTTGATTCCAATTCAGATGTGGTGCTCAGGGTTTAAAATTACCCTGAAGGTCAATCAACATAGCTCTAGTCAAAGGCATATCTCTTAGAAATGGATTAAAGAAACACTGATGTTAGAATTTTTCTTCTAGCATGATGCATTATCTTCAATATTAGGGAAAAGAAACAGCTCCCTTTGTATTGTGTTTCTTTGATTTTAGGTATAACAGTTAAACAGGGTGGAATTTCAAAATCTTTATTGATAATCTCAGAAATAGAACAAGTATTTTTGAGCACCTACTGTGTTCATGGAGTTTCTCTGCTGCAGAGATAGAAGTATTATTTTTTATTCTATTAAGAACTGATTCAAATTTCTGCAAGGTTGATCAAATCCTCAGCTGTAGAATTAATGACTAAAAGTTACAAACACTGAATTAGGGACACCACAGCTAATTTAGTCACAGTGGTAGACATGACAGAATGAAAGAAGTTTTAATTCCCCCCGAGTTGAATCTACTCAGCCAAAATGAATTTTTGTTTTGATTTTAATCATACGCTATCCCAATGCACCAGTTAATATACTTTATTTTGGGTCTGTAGTTAACCATAGAGGAAAAAACATACTGAGTTTTTCCCATTTTAATATCAAACTGGAGTAAGATCTTCAGCAAACAAGTCCCTGTAACTGCATACTACAAGTAATATACTAGAAAGAACTCCACACCACAGCGACTCCCTCAGAGGCCAAAGCAGGTTTGAGTCTCAATTATATGGTAATATGCAGAACAAACTTGGTACTATGGCACTTGAGGAGAACAGCTGATGAGTATTTTCCAGATGGCTTCATGGTGTTTTCTCAGCATAAAGCCATAACAAACAATAGGTCATGTAATGGGGGTTCATTATTAGCCCATAGTAATTGGCAAAGAAAGTGATGATATTTCCTGGTGAAGAATGTATCAGCAAATATTATTTCAAAGGTTTAATCTTGTGACCAGAGTCAGTAATTGCTTCACTATTCCTTGGGCCTGAACTTAGAGTAAATGATTTATTGTTCTGACAACATAGAACGAATATTAGCATTTTGAAAAACATTGAGACCTATTAATCCTAGCGTGAGCTACTCTTAAACCCAAGGAAATGAAGAAATATTGATCTAATTTCTGTCTTTCAAAGATAAAATTATATATTAACCACAGAGCGCCCAGCAGCATGCCCAACCAGCATCCCCAGAGACAGTTAGCCTGACATCAGAATTGTGTTTTGCTAGCTAAATACAGATTCCCTCTACAGTATTATGCAATTTATTACAAGCAGACGGGCTTGATCCAGTAGCTGAGAAGTCAGCTGAGTCCTCCTTAAGAACTTGCTGAAATAAAGGGAAAGGGGAAGGCAAAGGGTCCAAAGACAGAAAAGGCAGAAACAGTCAGAAATAAAGAGTTAGTACCAATGTCTTTAGCGGCACCTCAGAGATAGTCATGGGGGAATCTTGTCAAATGCGGATTCTGACTCAGTAGATCTGAGGTGGGGATGAAGGGTCTGAATTTCTGACAAGCTCCCAGGAAATGCTGTTTATCCCAAAAAACAATAGTGTCAAGAATACTAAGAGCACCAAGAGTGTCCTTTTTCTTTGTTTAAGGATGCTTTTGCTCCCAAAAGGATACATTGTATATGTGCTCTGGTTTTCTTTCATATTCTCTTTATAGGATGTAGTTTTGTTTCTCTCTAATGTTATTTCATTTGTACTGTTTTCAGGTCGCATAACATGTCTGCTACATTACATACTGACCTGGTTTTTTGGAGAAATAATACACTCTCTGCCCTGAAAGCATCCCTTCCTTTATCACTACTTCCCACGTAGACTGTGAAGCAGGCATTCAGTTTTTTTTTTTTTTTTTGCCACCATCGCTTTCAAAAGCCACCTTGCATGATAACCTGTAGTAAGGTTTCCTACTTATCCTTGAAAGAGAAAAAAGAAAACAACAGAATTTTGAAAAATTCAAGCCAGTGAAGAGAAAAATATCCCTAAATCTCCAGATTGCCAGTCTCTGAGGAAGAGAACTGTAATTATTAAAAATAATTTAAAAACTTTTGAAAAACACCTTTCATCCTTCAGTTCTCTCATATGAAAGACTTCATGGAACCAGAAGGTCTACCGTGGGTGGGATATTCAAGTCTGTCACTGCTGCTGTCTAAATATTTCTTCTGCCGAGGAAGAAACATTTCCTGTAAATCTTATGTATAAAAGCCAGACTCTCTTGCCAGTGAGGAAGATAGGGAAAAAAAATAGGGAGTAGGTTAAGGATAAAGAAGAGAAGTACTTTAACACCTGTTTCCTCCTTAAAGAGGTACTCCTCCTACTGGAAAAAAAAAAATAATAAGCCAGCCGCTAGCTCTTTACTTTTTCTTTAAACCATCTCTGCCAGATTAAAAAAAAATAGAAGTTAAAAAACGGAATTAAAAACATCATATTGCACAGAAGGCTAGACTAGTATAACACAATGGCACTTAGCCTACCCAGATTTGTAAAGTGGTATTCCAAACATTTGACTATAATTTCAAAAATCTTATTTACTCTTGGGTAAATATTGCTGAAGCTGACATGGGTAGTCCACATTTACAAAATAGAGAGTGTAGTATGCATTCCAAAGGGCATCAGTCATCATTGAATTTGGCAAGGGCAACACTGGCAGAAGTGATTTGGTCACTATCTGCTTCATGGTTACATCTGTGAAATGGCAATACTAGCAGGAGAAACACACATAGTTCTCATACGGGAATTAAGAGGATGAGATTTGTCTTAGTCCCTTTTGTGCTGCTATAACAGAATATCGGAGACTGGGTAATTCATAAAGAAGAGAGATTTATTTCTTACAGTTCTGGAGGCTGGGAAGTCCAAGATTAAGGGGTTTGCATTTGTCAAGTGCCTTTTCGCTGGGTCATCCCATGATGGAAGGCAGAAGGACAGGAGAGAAACAGGTAAGAGGGGGCTGACCTCATCCTTTTATAAAAAGCTCACCCCTGAGATAATGACATTAATCCATTAATGAGGGCAGAGACCTCATAGCCTAATTGGCTTTCATTAGGTCCCTCCTCCCAACACTGCTGTATTGGGGATTAAATTTCCAACACATGCATTTTAAGGGCACATTCAAACCATAGCAGGGTTATTAACAACAAGAACTATCACCATCATCATTACAATTACCACCTAGCCATCTTTTTAGACACATAAGAAGATATGAAATTTGTTGAATAGAATAATTTTTAATTCAGTCAATCAATAAAAATATTTATTAAATATGCGTGGTTCAAATACGGAGTCAAGTACTAAAAGAGAAATACAAGCATTGGGTAAGATAGAATCTCCATCGCATTAGACTGAATAAACTAACTGTGTTAAACTGAATAAACCTAATATATATGAGATGATTTATAAAGTAATTTTAGAATAATTCTCCACAGTATATAATTAAATAATAAATTACACAGAGTTGGTGTAAGTACTAAAATAAATCATCAAAGGCAAAGATCAATATAGGCAAGATAGAAAGACAGTACAGTTTTGTGCAAAGGGCATAATATCAGGAATCATAATGCCTAATAGTTCCATGTAATTGGGGCCTGGGCTTGGTTTTCTCATCTGCAAATTGGGAATTACAGTAATATGTGTCTTTTGGAATTATTTCAAGAGTCAGATAAAATGTGAACATAAAAAAAATCTTACCCTGTAAAGCAATACGCAATTTCTATTTTATTATTATTATTCATTAGCAAAATCATATAAAATGAGGGAGATTTATACTGAAAGGAGTATTAAATAGAGAAGAGGGAGGCCAGTTATCCAGGAAAGAGAAACAGTATAAGAAAAAGCAGATGGAGAAATGAGCATTGGATGCCAGAAAGACAAAGACCTGAGGTGAGGAAGGGCAATCAAACCACAGATTGTTGATATTTTTTAAAGAAATAAACATAATACATTTTATTTAAGTGAAAGAATGCCAGTAATATGCATGAATGCAACAGCAGTCCTCTCAAAACTCAGTGACCCCTTTGCTGTGTTTCTGCTTTCATGTTATTGGACAATCTCTTCACACATCCTTGATTCTCAGTCTTCCAGAAGCTGACAGAAAGCAAAATAAAATAAAAGAAGGCAAGAGAAAAGAAAACTGGTGGAAAATAAAAAGTGCTAAGTATGACTCTTAGTACTTTGATACAAAAGAAAACAGAGGAGGGGGACTGGGGAAGAAGAGATGAGAAAACGTATTAAATCCTCACCTTGCCTCAGGTATGGGGTTTCTGCACATTAGTAGGCTTTCTCCCAAGCCAGAGAATATACTTTACCTCATGGCCACAAGTGAGGTGGGCTGGATAATAAGGATATTAGGAAATAGCAATTATATTGCAGATGTAAAAGGAACAAAGTCAAAAGAGGGAATGAGAGAAAATACAGGAATGAAGAACAAAATAAGGGAGTAGCGAAATCCAGGGAAAGAGAAAAGAAAAGGCAACAGAAAATGGTTTATCTCTAGAATTAATACATTAGGTTGAATTATAAAACAGTGTTCCAGGTTTCAAGGACTTCATGGAGGTTTTTTTATTTGTTTGTTTGTTTTAATGAGACGGAGTCTCACTCCGTTGCCCAGGCTGGAGTGCAGTGGCACAATCTCGGCTCACCTCAACCTCCACCTCCAGGGTTCAAGCGTTTCTCCTGCCTCAGCCTCCTGAGTAGCTGGGACTACAGGTGCCCACCACCACAGGGTTTCACCATGTTGGCCAGGCTGGTCTCAAACTCCTGACCTCCAGTAACCCACCCGCCTTGGCCTCCCAAAGTGCTGGGATTACAGGTGTGAGCCACCACACCCAGCCGACTTCATGGAGGTTTTAAAGAAGAACCTGCTTTCCAAGGATCTGAGTAGATTATAAAACATGCAAGGCTGGTTTGTGAAGTAAGAATAATAGGATGCAATTTATTAAACTCCTACTACTATTTGCCAGGCATTCTACTGGGGCTTTACATTCTTTAAATCCGTAAATGTTTGTTACTGTCATCTACAAGATGTGGGCTTCTCCAAATGCTTGAATTCCCTGAAATTACCTCCTTCTTCTCCCCTACCAAAACTCACTTCACTTCTGCTACAAGCTGAAAACAACTGAAAGTTAATTGCTACTGTTACAATAAGTATAATGTCACAGTTTTCAAAAATAATTTACCCTGGGTTAGCAAACAGCTAGCTGAGAAGAGGTAAGATTACTGATGAAAGGGAGGGGAGGACAGAGACAGAAGATGCTGGGGGAACAGGCAGCCTTCTATTAATTTAGGAGCCAGTGTTCTGAAAAAAGAGATGCATAACTGCAGGTACTGTTTCCTGTTCCTGTTTTCTCTTCCATCACTTGCCTGGGGCAATGACAAGCATGTAGGGGGGTATTCTAGAATTAATAGCAAATATATTTCTCTCAGGAGGGGATAGAACCCTAATTTTGTGACAATTCAGTATATTTCCAGTATTATTATAAAAGAGTGGACAATCAGATAGTTTTAAAGACTTATTTAAATACACTCACACATACATATACATTTGAGGAATCGCCTTTGCTGAGCTACATGGTATTACAGGTAGCCTAGTCTGAACTCATCCCATTTTACAGGTGAGGAAACAGAGGCCCAGAGAAATCAAGTGACTTGTTCAACCCATGCCATGCAACCAGTTATTAGCAGGTCTGAAATGGATGTATTTTTCATTAACCCATGATCCTATAATAGGGAGAAGTCACTACTCCAATAGCTGTACATAACACCAAAGAAAGTATACTTTGGATTGAAATGAAACAAAGCTCAGACAAACACTGTCACACACATATGACAATGGCTAGTGGGATATGATGAATCTCACTTATGATGAAGTGGAAAAACATAGGCTTCCTAATCAGAGGTAACATAAACATAATTCAAAACTATACTTAAATTGTGTGGGGTTTTTTTTGCCAATGTTCTATTATTTATATTTCATGTTATTGGATTATATGTCATAAGAATTAATGAAAACACCTATAAGGGGCCTAGTAGAGTGTTTACTTTCATTCCTTACTTCAATTGTCAAGAGTTCCCTTTAGGGCAAAAAAATAAGCGACTCTGTTGTTAGTCTTCCTGAATGCTTTCAAGATCTCCTCACAGCAGCCTAATTCTGTTTAATTTCTCTTTTCTCTTTCAGAGATGATGATCAAAAGAAGACATGAGAATTTTTTCTTGATTAATCACCCATGTCCACCCCTAATCCTAGTGTATAAAAATGTAGAGGAATGGGAATCTTACTCTGCCTTACAAATTTTTGGCGGAAACAAAGACAAAGTAAAATGTCTGTGATTTTGCTCTAAGAGCCATAGAAAAATTCTGAAATACAAGTACTGCAGGAGTTGCTCTACATTTGACAAAGAATAGATTGTGCATGTTGTCATGGGAAAGTGTATGACTGGAGGCGCTTGTGCATTTGTCCTTGTTTTACATAACCTACCTCATTCACGCATGGCACAAAGATAAAAAAATTGGATCTTGGTTGGTTATTTAAAATTCACAAAGTCCTATTCTTGGCCATTTATATGCTTTATTTTCTCAATCTATACTGAAACTTAGGAGCAAAGATTCTCCTGATTTTAGGGTGTGGTTTCGGAAAAGAATCAGAGAGAAAATGAACAATGAAAAGTATTGAACATGCCCTCTGTGTAAGAAACCATTGCAGATGATTCTTTCAATCCTTGCAACTACCTTGCCTCCTATAAGGTAGAGCATTTGTTTTCTGGCTCTCCACTAGCACCAAGAACAACGTCTGGCACATAGTAGGGGTTTAATATGCACTTCTTCAATGAAGAAGTGAACAGTCCACAAGCTGAGTAGCATTATCTTCACTACACTGATAAGGAAGCCGAGGTTCAGAAAGATTAAATTTCCTAGTCATAGTCTTAAAATTAAATACTAGGTAGAGACAGGTTATAAATCAGAGTTGTTGACCTTCACTACCAGGCCTCTGTTCTCTCTACTAAGTTGGTAAAAAGAGCAGTGGCTAAACTTAGTTCATAAAGTCTCATGGTCTAATAGCTATAGAGGTGAAGCATTCTATAGAAATGAAAACTATGTTGATTTGTTTCTCCCTACTCCATAGCAGGACCATCCTCCCTGCCCAATGACCACCTTAAGACTTATTGAAAAATAATAAAGGCACATCTTGCAGACTGCAAACATAAAAGATGAGTGCCAATTCCATGTGCTGAGTTATAATAATTTCTAATGATCAAAGGCAGCACTATCTCTAAACCAAAAATCCTGTTTTCTAGCCTTTGCAATAGATGAATTGTGATACTATGGACAGTTTCAGTTTCTTCATCAGTAAATGTTGGGATGTGGGAGAAGTTAAATGCTAGCAAGAGTCATTCGATCTCTAATATTTTCTGATTCCTTCTCCCCCAGCCACAATTAGGCAACTTACATCTTAAGAATTGAGAAAACATAACGTCTATTTTGTTTTCTCTTTATTCAAGGAAGCCTACATCACTTTTCTAATTTATAATTTGTCCATGATTACTTATATGTAGAATCTACTTCAAGGGCATTCTGAATTGGAAAAAATGGAATATGCTTTGTTCTTGCTTTAGTACATGGAGAGTTAATTTTTTTTTTTTTTTTTAGTGATGGTCATCTATCCAATAAATACGTCTTTCTACATTTTTACCCCTTGTTAATAATAATTATAATTATTTTGATCAGGTGGGTTTTTACAGTTTTATTCCTTCTTTATTATTTTCACTTTATGGTCCAAAAATGCAAGTTTGTTATGGATGAAAATATGACAAATTTGAACTCGGTTACTGCCACTAATCAGGCTTAGAAAAAAATTAGAACATTTAATTGATTTCCCACAGCTCAGAGTTATGGATTTTGAAAACAGAAATGGATTTTTTTTCCTTATGGATAAGAGAAACAATGCGGTGATGACTAATAATTAGCATGGCTTCCATGCTGGGACAGTAACAGGAACTGGTAGAGACCATGGCTGAATGAAGACCATACACATTGCCTATAGAAGGCAGCCCCTACTCAGCTTAGCCAAATTTTCTCATGTAGAATTATAGGTCTAGTGGATCTAGATCTTAATATATTTTTGAGAAAAGCTAGAAATGTGGATTTTTATATCAAATGTATCCGTTTTTAATGCTGGTGCAATTTCTAAAAATAAACAAAAACTGTATGGGCCAAATAAAATATATACGCGAGCTGAATTAGGCTAGTGGATTACTAGTTTGAGAACTCTTATTTAGAAAGATCTGCCTCTGAGAATTAGTGTTTCCTTCTTGACCAGGCAGAATATGGATCTGTGTGTATGTGCTTCTATGTATGTGATTTAGCAATTAACCAGTAAACCTGCCCCCTTCAAAAGACGCATATTGATGAAATCATTTGTGACCTCACAGGAATCACAAATGATGTTCCTATGACGCCCTAGATTGTTCTGTTACACAAGGGGTACCAAAGTCCACTCTGAGCTTTTCCTCTGGGAACAGATCCCAGATTATTCCAGACTTAAGACATGGAGATATATCTTGCTAGAGGTAGGAAGATGATAAGATCAGTTTCTATAGGTAGAGGATAATGTGTCCTAAAATGTAGGTAGAGATAAGTCTGACAGTGGTTTAGACAAAAAGGGCCTCTGCTAATGGTGGAGAGATCAAGGAAGAAAAGAGCAACGTTAAAGTGAGGCTGTACCCACAGATCATGCTCAAGCAAATTCGAACCGTGAGCGCATTTCTCTTAAACAATGAACACTTAGAATAAAAATTAAAATTTCCCACAAATTTCTAATTTTAAAATAGTTTCCCAAGATTTCAGTGGTATTGTATATATGCCCATATAATTTTTTGGATTACTATTCCCACAAGTGTAAGATGAAAGAGGACCTGCCCTCCATTCTATCTACTCCCTCTCTGCAAAGGCCATTTTGAAGATCTCAGTTTTACTGAAAGGGGTCTGCCACACATAACTTCCCTGGTGTACCAGCAACAAGTGTTCAGTGGACCATGGCAACACAAAGAATGACGGAGGAGAGAAAATGCCATGCAGAAGTGATAGTCAAGATGAAGATGTGGGAGAGGAGCAGGTATAAACCCTTTCTTATCCCAAATATATCAGGAGGAAGTGACCAGAAAAGTGATGCTAACTATGCCCTTAGGGTACAGCCATACAATGAGATAGAAGAGTCTCAGCTGGGACTAGAATAATTTCCTATCCCTTATTTCTCTACTAAAATTTTAAAATTCTAAATATAAAAAACTGATATGAAAGAAAATTCTAAATGTAAGTACTACTTTTCATGCAATGCAAATTATTTTCCCATTCACTACTCTGAAACTTATAAGCAAAACTAATATGGTTGCAGAGTTGAATCTTTTCCAAACTAATGGTTTTTTTAGGAGTAAACCTTAGAGTGAAGATGAAAGACATGTAAAGAGACATGATTACCTTTACCACAAAATGAAAAACAATAAGGAGTTATTGTGCCTTTCAGTACAGCACTGCCCTTACTATACCCCATGGCATTAACCCCATAGATATTCCTGACTACCCTGGGAATTAGAAGTGTGTAGATAGTTACTCCATTAACAAACTGCATTAACAAAGAGTGCTTCCCAAGGTCACATGGCTAGATAAGCTAAAACCCAAACTTTCATTCTTATGAATCCAATTACATAGCTTTGTTAATTGTGCCTATATTTCTGGATTTTACTTTCCCATCTTCAAAACCTGCATTTTAGGATAAAGGTATCAAGGGGAAGATATGAATTTATAATTAAACTTTGTACTCTGACTAGGCCAATATCTAAGAATTACCATCAGTGTAAGTATTGGTAGTATGTAGACCAACACAACCTCAGTAATGTTCTTGGAGTTCTAAGAAGTAAGGGCATGCAGATTTATTTTCTCTGCAGCTTTAATGCTAGAAAACATACATGCATTGTAGTAACTATTTCTCTCTTCATCCTCCTTACAGCACAAAGTAGAGTAACAGATGGGTTGTCTTAACTAAAGATGTCAGCACTTTATTGACCAGGCTTCTGCTAGATTCTATAATAGCAATATATGAATTGTGATTTCTCCTTTCAGGGACTAAGAGGGCATGATTATTATTCAGGAAACCTGTTTTGTTTATTTTTTCTTTCTCCCACTTCAAGTGTTATTTCATTTTTAAGATACTTGCAGCTTTCTCATTCTATGATGTAGTCCCATATAAGAAATATTTCCTTTCTGAATCATAATTCAATCCTCAGACTATTAGACCATACCACCTGCTAGAGGGTGACATGCATCTCATTAAAGATAGCTGCCATTACTAATGATCAAGCACAGTTCAATGAGTACAGTCAAACTTTAAACATAAGCATAAAGCAAAACACTAAAGATAAATTAGGGCTGTAACGAAACTCAGTTTCAATAAAGCATCTCATGAAATATCTATATTCAGCTTCAGTCTAATACACTAGAAAATACTTGCTTCTGAGTATTAACTGTGGAAAGCCTACATAACAAATATTCACACTTTAACCTGTCACTCAGCCTGCAAGTAAACCTAAACCTAAATCTTGAAACATAACCTAAAAACCTTTGATGGAAACTCTACATAAATATAAATTTACAGAATTTATCCTTTTTTGTGAGGCACATTTTATGAATTGGTTATTATCTGCATTAGCATGGTACAAGAAATATGTTAAATGTTTTAATTATTTGATCCAGATTTCCTGTCTGCTTTCATACTAAATAAAATAACTAAAAGCATTTTCAAGATAATATTGTTCATAGTTTACAATTGTTTCTCTAAATGTGAGAAAGGGTCTGATTTACAGCATTATGCTCCTGTGTTTTCTTATCTTATTAAATGATGCAATTTTCTGCCTTTGTCACCAAAACAGCATCTGCTAGTCACAAAACTAGAAACACATCTTTTAATTAAATGCTTATTTTATTTTCCCTAGGGACAATGAATTATAGAATTACTTTCTCAAGAGTTACTGTTTCCTTTTCCTTTATCTCAGCCCCCAGTATATATTCAGTGTGTCCTCTGAAGTAACAACCATCCCATCTGGCTGAGAAGTGATGGACACGGCTCCTTAACCACACTGTACCCTCTGTTCTTGGCACCTCTCTACCAGAAAGATATCAACAAATTGGATGGAATTCAGAGAACAGTAAGAAAAATGATTAAAGAGATGGAGGCAGTGACTTATGAGGAAAGATGAAAAGGACTAAATCTATGTAGCTTGGCAAAGCAACAACTGAGGTGGCGTATGAAAACTGTCTACAAGCATTTGAAGAATATAAACACCAAGGGAAGAGAGGGAACTTTTTAGAATGGTCTGGGGAATAAGCAGAGTAAGAGGACAGAATTGAAGAAAGGAGAGAGATATGCTAAGTTGGGGGTGGGGGCGTTTTCTCATCAATTGTAAATTTTGATAAATAACAAAATTAAGTCTGGAGAGAAAGAGTTGCATCTCATGCTTTTAGGTTACAATCAGTGTTGACCTGCACTGAGAAAATGGTAAGTGAGAGAATAAATAGTATCTGTTTGTATGTAGACATATAATATTTGAGCTGTCTTTTTCAGCTTACCAAGTGCTTCTACATGCATTACACCATCAAATTTTCAAATTGACTGTATGTCATTATGAGTTCATTTTAAATAAGAAAAAGCTAAAGATTACTTCTAAAACACACATAAATATATCTCTAACCCTGAGTTCATAATCCCTTTCTTCTTATTCTAGATTTTAAAATTTTAATACAATGTAGACTATAATCACTCACAATATGGATAATGAATTTAAGGCTATGTTTTAATTAGCAGTCCACCTCACTGTACCCATTGTCTTGTTCTTTCCTGGAGCAGATTAGACACAAACTGTAATCAGGGCAAAATTCTATAGATGACCCAGTGAGAAAAACAATTCCTTCTTAAATTCTCTGGTTAAGCACTTTTTCTTGGGTGCTGTATTAACATCATGCTGACACTCCCTAACTGTTAACAGCAGCCCTAAGGTCATTCACTAATGCAAGACGTTGAGACCCACTTAATATAATATACCATCCCAAGCAAGGATATTTACCATATAACCTGAATCAAAGTCTTAAGATATGGAGCTCAAGTCTGCTAAGAGATGTCACTTGTGTTTTGTTGCCTTCAACCACCTATCATTATGCTAAGTATTGAGTAGAGATCTACATGGATAATAAACCAGGTACGAACACTGTTGTTTCTAACTAGAGTTTTAAGCCTAAATCTGTAGAAGGTTTCTAATCATGATGAACTGTCCTGGAACACTTATGAGCTGTAAAGACACCTTTTGCATATCTAAGAAGCTAGACTAGGCCAGACTTGGGGGCTCACGCCTGTAATCCCAGCACTTTGGGAGGCCGAGGTGGTCTCATCACCTGAGGTCAGGAGTTCGAGACCAGCCTGGCCAACATGGCAAAACCCTGTCTCTAGTAAATATACAAAAATGAGCCGGGCATGGTGGTGCATACCCGTAATCTCAGCTACTTGGGAGGCTGAGCCAGGAGAATCACTTGAACCCGGGAGGCAGAGGTTGTAACGAGCCGAGATCGTGCCATTGCACTCCAGCCTGGGTGATAAGAGCGAAAATCCATCTTTAAGAAAAAGAAAAGAAAAGAAAAAAGAAGCTAGACTATATTCTATGTTTCCTTTTTTTCTGGTTCATACAGTGACTTCCTATTATCCTTCTCAAAGTTATTGCTGCAGAGGAAAGAAGCATACATCTTTTACCCACCAGGAAACCCCCAAAGCATCTATTACCATAATAGCCATGGGAAACAGGTAAAAAAAAAATCAATTTAAAGCAAATAAGCCAATGAGAACAAAAGATCTCCCCCACATCAAAAGAGTCTTCTGTGTGGAATCAAGAGCTTTTAGAAATTTTACCTTTCACCATGGAATTGTGGACTTTTGCACCAAATGTGTATTCTTAATCTAGAAAACACAGCAGGAGATGGTTTGGCATGATGATCTTTCTGAAATTTTATCATTAAAACAGTACCATCTACTTAGAGCTAGTCTGCATCTTAGATTTTAGATATCTGCAAGTTTTTGAGCATATAAGTTCTTGAGCAGTACTTCTCAAACATTAATGTGTATATAAATCACTGGGGATCTTGTTAAAGTACAGTTTAATATACTAAACCTGAGGTAGAGCCTGAGAATCTGAACTTCTAAAACATCTCCAGATGATGTTGATGAAGCTGATCCATGGACTACATTTCAAATAGCAAGACCTGTAGGGTATTTTTATTCCAACTGTATGACAGAGCAGTGAAAAATGGCTACACACTAGCCACATATCATTTTTTAAAAGATTTAATTTTTAGGTTCACAGCAAAATTAAGAGGAAGATACACCGATTTCTCATATAGCCCCTCCCTCCACAAGGGCATAGTTCCCCCCTTATCAATGGGCCCCACTAGAATGGAACATCTGTTACAATTGATGAACCTGCATTGACATATAATCACACAAAGTCCATAGTTTGCATTAGGGGTCACTCTTGGTTTTGTGCATTCCATGGGTTTTGAAAAATAACATATATGACATATCTATACCACTATAGTATTGTACAGAGGATTTTCACTGCCTTATAAATCCTCTGTGTTCTGCATATTCATGCTTCTTCCCAAACCCTTGACAACCACTCATCTTTTCACTGTTTCCATAGTTTTGCCTTTTCCAGAATGTTAATAGTTAGAATGATACAGCATATAGCTTTTTTCAGATTGGCTTCTTTTACTTAGTAATATGCATTTAAGATTTCTCCATGCATTTTCATGGCTTGATAGCTCATTTCTTTTTAACATTGAATAATATTCCTTTGTATGTACCACAGTTGATTTCTCCATTCACCAACTGAACATCTTGGTTACTTCTAAGTTTTGGCAATTATGAATGAAGCTGCTATAAACATCTGTAGGCTGGTTTTTGTGTGGATATGCTTATTATTCCTTTGGGTACATAGCAAGGAGCATAATTGATGGATAGTATGTAAGATTACATTTAGTTTTGTAAGAAAATACCAAACTGTCTTCCAAAATGGCTATATCATTTAGCATTCCCACTAACAGTAAATAAAAGTTCCTATTGCTTCACATCCTTGCCAATATTTGGTATTACCTGTGTTCAGGATTTTAGGAATTCTAGTATATGTGTAGTGGTATCTCATTGTTATTTTAATGTGTATTTCCCTGATGACATACTGTGTGGAAATTTTCATATGCTTATTTGCCATATGTATATTTTCTTTGGTAAGGTGTCAGGTAAGTTATTTGGCCCATTTTTAAATCGGGTTTGTTTTCTTATTGTTGAATTTTAGGTGTTCTTTGCATAATTTTGATATAGTCATTTATCAGATGTATCTTTTGCAAATATTTTTTTCTCAGTCTGTGCCTTATGTTCTTATTCTCTTGATCCAGATACTTTCCAGGGAAAATTTACATTTGATTTAAATTATCCATTTCATATGGCATTAACAAAATGCATTTAGGTAATAAAGCCGACATATGTATTTATAGTTTTATTTGCATTGAGATTTTATAATATTTTACTCCATTTAATTCCAGTTCAATTTTTATAAATGTGTTTCCAAGTTCATGCCCTTACAACAATCCTATTTTGAAAAAAGTGCCCTGTGGAAGAAAGGCCAGAAGGGGCAATTTGCCATGACTCAAAAATGGCAAAGGCCTTAAATGTAAATCATCAATGCTTTTACAAAGTGGGTTTATATAGAGTTTCTATACTTATTTCTGATGAAAGCACTGATTTCTAAAATATAAACTTATATTAACATTTGCTTGTTTTCTCATACAGAAGGCACCTCAAATAAAGGTGGGGAAAAGAATGAAAGAAATGGCTTTGGCCTGTGCCTGTTTGACCTCTGAGAGATACTTTTTGCAAGAAATTGTTAAGTTTTGGCCCAAAAAGTGGTCGGTCTTTTATCCTTCCTTGTGGAGGCCAAACTGCAAACCAGGATGAAGAAACCATCAGTGGCAGTTTGGGGAGGTGGAGGAGGGACTATCTAGACTCAGTGAATCACCAAGGAAACATGAGGCCTATTTCTCTGTGAAGCTGAACTTCAAAAAACAATCTAAGAGATACAAAGGGAAAAGTGTGACTGCTCTGACAGCAAAAACAAGCAAATATCTCCAGAGGGGATTAATCCTTCTGCTTCAAAGTAACTAAAACAAAGAAAGCTGAGCCAGCTTCACTGGAAACAACACCTGTCCATCAGACAAGGATGAGCTAATCAAAAGAAAACACTGCCTATGTGCACGACTCAGCAGCCTGGACAGCTAATACCAAGGAACACGTTTTCACTATAAAGATTCAGCTTTCAAAATCCAGTTCCCTCTTGTAGAGCCACAGGGTTAAAAGGGACCTTAGAGATCATCTACATACAGGCCAAACCCTCAATGAATGCCAGTGTTCGCCTTATGTTCTTCTTGCCGGACTCTTTTCTGGCCTCTGTTCTGTCAGGATGTTTCCTGTTTTGCAAAACAGCTTTAATCCTTGAGTATATTTAATTGTTAGAAAACAGTTCCTCAAATTTGACCCCAAATTTAAGTCTAATTTATGAAGAAAGTTTTGCCTTTGGAGACAGGTTTAATTTTACTTCCATGTGGAAAACCTTCAAATAAAATGATGACTATTGTGTACTCACGAACTATCTCTTCTTCTCCCAGCTTAATCAGGTCCTATGGTGGTGTACAAATGTTTCTACCACCTTATTACCATCTAGTTTTCAATGGCTCTTTGAAAATATATTGGCTAACTCTAAATACAAGACTCCAGATGTAATCTAATCAGTACAGAATACATTTGGATTTTTACATCCGACCATCTGGAGGCTATATTTCTATTAACTCAAGTATAAGATCTCTTTGCTTTCTGTCATAAATTGTGCCAACGATCAATGCTTGTTTTTACACAAACTGCAATTAAGTTCCATTTCCCCCAACCTGTCTTGTGCAATGGATGTTTTAATCTAAGCATGAGACTTCACATTTATTCCCACTGATTTTCAGCTTGTTACCTTTAGCTCACTTTTTAATCTGACAGTCTTGAATTTTTATTTTGTTATTCAGAGTATCCGATATCCCTCACAAATTAGACTCTAGAAAATTTGATAAGCAGGCCCTGTACTTTGTTATTCAAGTCACCGCTAAAAATACCAAATAGAACAGGGCCCAAAACAGAAATACATGGCTTGAAAGAGACTTTCAGTATATGCCCAAGCTCAATATAGATTTGTTTAAATGATCCATCTTCTCTTTTTTTCATTCTTCCATTTACAGACTTTATGCAAGGCTTTTATATTTGGGAGAACATACCAGACCTACAAAAACCCTTGCTTTGACTATTGGTTTCTTATCTCTCCTTCCAGCTTTATCCTTCCTAGTGATAAGATAACACTCAAAACTCAAGATAATGCTCAAACAAGTTAAAACTCAAGACTAAGTGGGACTTGCTCTAAACCCCTAAGTATTAAGGATGACACTGTACTGCTGCTTAGCACATAGAAGATTCCGCTGGACATGCAAGGTCAGATTAGAGTCAAGTGACCCACACTTTGAGAATTTAAACAATAAGTCAAGACTAGCTATTGCAGAGAGAAATACTCTGTATGAATAAATTTACAGCTAAGGTGTGTTCCTTAGCTAAAGTAAAAATAAAATAAAAAAATTTAGAGAGTTGGTAACTTTACTTCAAGGGCCATTGTGATATCACAGTAAGTCAGCAGTTTAGTCTTTCAGTCTGCCCACAGAGTTAGATTTTGTTGAAGGCAAAATGCTCAGCATGGTAACTAATCAGCACACTCTCTCCAAACATCCCCTGCCTTTATTTTCAGTTGCTTGTTACTTCAATTTACACCGATTTATCCTCCCTCACAACTCAACCCACAACTTTCTCATTGCCTGACCTGAGGCATGGATAGCAATTTTCAGTGTAATCAGCCAGAGGATGTAATCAGTGCAATTAACAGAAGGATTGGGAATACTACATGAAGCCTAAATTCAAATACCACTAAAATTACTGTACTGTATCTGTAAATACTCACACTAAACAAATATTTCTTGGGATAAGTTTCTGGCAGTAGGCTAATAATTTCAATGTAAAACTTCTGAAGGAGTTCAGGTCCCATAACCACCGCCAATTCACTGCTTTAGTATACTTTATTGAGCACCTTCAGTATGCCTATTCTTAGGATGAAACAAAAGTGAAATAGGATGTGATACCTTTCCTTGAGGAAGTTTGCTGTGTTGAAGAAATAAGTCTTAAAGTCATAAGAAGATTCCCAAAACAGTAAGAAAGAGTGCCAGACTAAAACTGCAAATAAAAAGAATATTTGAATGGGAAGAGGATAAGCTCAGTGTTATGTTTGGCTCTGCTAGTCATCTGTTTTGACTTCCACAGGTCATAATCACCCACAGATCCCTTCCTCTCTTCCCCTCCATTGTGCTTGCTTCACCATGTCTCCTACTCCCTTGCCTTGCCTATGTAGAAGTAGCTAAATAGTGCTGGGGGCAGGAGGAAGTGTACAGAAAAACATAATCAGTATGACTGGTATCACTTCAATTCACAGCAATAAGCTCATTTGGACCCTGATTAATGCCAAAATTCTACTATTTTCCTTCAGTAAATTTTCTTTCTCCCTCTCTGAATTTATTATTTATACCACTTCTCCAAACTCACATTCCCACTTTTCTCATCCCTCCAAGTTGATACCTGCCTTATACTTTGTTATAAGATTCCCCATTAGAGTGAATTCTTCTTTATTCTCAGTAGCAATTTGGAAAAAACAATTTGCATTTCTGGCCCTCCTAATTCAGTGTAGAAACTTGCCTTCTCCCAGAAAAGGCAAAACCTCTCTACCTGTGTACTGGGGAGTTTCATCCTAAAATGATTTCTCAACAACTTTGCTCCTTTGTTTTTCCTCTCTCTACTGCATGATAAATACTTCTTTCACCACTTGATTATTCATATTCCATGAAAACATTTAAACATATACATATTGAAACATACTTTGTATACCCCATCTTTTAAGAAAAAGAAAAACAAGCATAAAGCAAACAAAAACTCCACTCATCTACCATCTCCTTCACTATTTTCTTGTTCTCCATCATAGCTCAGATTCCTCTCCTTTTATTCACTGTTTTTCTCACTTCAATCCGGTTTCCAGCTTTACATTTTACCAAAATGGTTTTTTTACTAATGATTTCCATGTTGCCTCATTCTATGACAGAAGGCATTCCATCGTACATTGCATTCTTCTTGAAACACTCTCTTTGCTCAACTTCCATAATAATGCATACCCCCCTGGTTTCTTCCCAGCCCACTATCGATTTCTTTTCAGTCTTCCTTGCTGACATTTCCTCCACTAAACTTATACATATTGAAGTATTTCAATATTCCTTCCAAACCCATCTTTTCTATCAACTTCTTCCTGTTGATCTAATCCAGACTTATGTCTTTAAATGGCATCTCTGTGCTGAATATTCGCAAATTATGTCTCCAGCCCAGATTTATCCTGTGAGCTCTGAACTGTCTATGTATATCTTTAGTTGGATTTTTACCAAGAATTTCTCAGGCTTACTATGATTACACTAGAATTCTTAATTCCTCACTCCTTTCCTGAACATATAAGAGAGGTATAGACAGAAATGGAGAAATTAAGGAATCAGTAGGTAACATGAGACCAAAAATAATGTGCTAGGAGTGGGAGAATAAGAAACCTGAAGGATTTCCATTGTGGATGTGGTTAGAACGTGAAATCCTGAGTTTAATGTCATAAACATTTTAAGAGATGACAGAATTGACTCCATTATTAATATAAGTACTGATAACTAAAGTTCAGTTGAAACTTATAAGTGTTAAAGAAACCAAAGTATTATAAAATAAGAATGTTGTGCTGGTCAGTCCCTGTGACCTGAAATTATGTAGAATGATGACAGGATTTAGGGTGGAACAGTGAAAAAGAAACTAGCTAGAAGGATAGAGAACAAGAATGGCAGAAAATAGATGGACGACATGAGACTTGAAAAAATACTTGTTTTGTATTGTTGATGAGAGCAGAAGAACATTGGTCTAGAATAAGCCATGGTGATGAGAGATAGCCTTAATATATTGGGAAAATGATCATTTTCCACTTCTTGAAGGGCTTCCTGAGTAAGCATTATCCTTGGGAGTTAATCACCTTTCAATTAAGATAAGCTCTGGAGAGAAGGAGTTGAGGATGCATGAAAATTAAATTATCATTGGTCAGACATTCCAGAATACATAAAGGAAAAAGTTGAGTGGGATAGTAAGATAGATTTGATGAGAAGAATTAGATCATCAGAATAGGAAAGAAAATAATAGAGAGAGCAGATGACACGAGGACTTGACCATCAGTGATTAAAGATGACAATGATATGAGAGAAAGTGCATTAAATTCACAAAATATTTACACATAGAATTTAAGGTTATTGTGTCTTATGATATGGGTACAAACCTTCCTATGGTTATGAGACTGAGGTGTTCAGAAATCAGCAATAAAAATCATGTTGTTAATCTATTTTCTCATTTAACTTTAGAAAACCTTTTAAATAATACACACATGGTGTAGATAGATATGGTAGGTTTCACTCTCAGCTTATTTTTCTTAGTGGAAAAGATGTCTCCTGTGGTATCTGTAGGTATTTTATAGAATCATGAGGACTTTAGATGAAAAAGGTATACATAGCAAGTGTGAAACTTGATCCATTATTTGTGATATGGAATATGATTCAAACTGATTTGTCAAATGTATGCCAATGTTCTGAGATATCATCTCCTATCCCCAAATTATTTCTCCTTAAATATTTAGTGTATAAACACAATTGAGCATTTCTGAAAGCAGTTCATTTGGAACATATTTTAATAAAATGCCCTTTAAAAAAAAGTAAAAAAATTTAGCATTTATTCTTTTTTTTTTTTTACTTTTCAACTTTCATTTTAAGTTCTGGGGTACATGTGCAGGATGTGCAGTCCTAGAATGTAATTTTTTATGAAGATTAAATTGACTTAGTGCATCTAGGTTTATCTAGTGAGGTTAATTCTCTCAAGAATGGGATGAAAGAGATGAAACATTTTTATACAAAGTAGAGGTAGTTTCTGAGATTTATTTTAATTCCTGGATGTTATAACTTACTTAAAGTTTTTCACCAATTCACAGTCTTAAACAACCAGACGACATGAGGACTAAATTCAGTTCGCTAGCATCCAGCCCTCTATCTTCCTGATTCCTAAGCCCTTCTTCCAGTGCCATATAACTCTCAGCTCCTCAAGATCATCAGAAGATCGAGCTGATTTTTGGTTGTTAACTACCTCTATAATGATTCGTAACACCATATATTTCTTTTGCTTTCTTCCTGAACATTGTATACATGAAATCATATAGATTTTGATATTACTAGATATTACTGAGTACCTAGTTATAATTTTGCTGAGGAATATCAATTTAGGAATGTGAGAACATTCTAGCCATGTTTCACTAGGGAAAATGCCCCCCAAAATGCCCCTGTCATTTTTTTTTTTTGCCATGTTTACCTTTTTCAACTGAAAACTGATAGCAGTATGCCAGGAAGAGAAATATGTCATATTAGTCAGGATAGAAGTAAGGCTGCTATAACAAAGAAGTTAAAAAATACAGTGATGTGAAAAACATGAAATAGTATTTCTCTCTCATACAAAAGTCCAGGTTGATGATTTGAGTATGGGATGGTGGTTTGGTGGTGCTGGATCTTGTTATTCTGTCATCGTCAACATGTGACTTCCACGTCATAGCCCAAATTGCTCTGTAGTCCCTACTATATGAATACATTCTAGCTAGGAGGAAAGAGGAGGAAGAAGGAAAGAACACGTCTCTTCCTCTTTAGAAACAACCCAAAATTTGAACACGACTTTCCTACTCACATTCTATTAGCCAGGAGTTAGTCACTGGGCCATAGCTTTCTGCAAAGAGAAGTTTGAAAATGTATTTTAAAAAACCTGTGCAGCCATGTGCTATTACTAAGAAAGAAGGGGAGAATAGATATTGAAAAAGAATAAGCAGTTAATGCCACACATGTCCATTGTTTGCTCTAAAAAAGAATGGTTGGAGATTTTCTGTAGCAGCTTAAAAATGTGTGTTATTGTTCAACTGATACAAATGGATACTTTGCACAATTAATATAATTGATAATTATTTATCTTACATGTTGCTTTACTTAATGTCAGTCTCTTTCACTAGACTCTAAGCTCCAAGAAGGTAGGGCTTATGTCTGTTTTATTAATAATTTTATAATCCTCTTTCTATTACAAATAGTTACTTGTTGAATAAATGAGTACAAGAAGGCCTCTGCATCAAATTGACTCCCACCTTCTTCACCAAAATCCATGAACCCTCCCAGAAAATTGGTGGTTATTAAAAAGAACCAAAACAGTGAAGTTTGTAGTATAAGAAAGTATTTAACCCTTCAAAGTCTACAGCTAACAAAAATTTCCAAGCCTATAGTTCACTCAGAAGAAAACTTGCTTTAGTCAGGTCAAAAGGATCTTTTGACTTTGTGTGTTCCCTCATGTGTGAAACTTAGTTCCTCTGTATGTTTCTACTGCACTTATTTCTTCCAATTTCAGATCCTTGTTTAATGCAATGTGCCCATTTGCCTATGTATCCACCCCTAAGAGTGAAAATATCTGTGTATACATGTGGAAGCTGCAATGTTGTATGAGTATGAATTCTTCTTCAAAGCAGAAAATAAGTCAACATTTTTATGTACATTCATGTTCTTAAAACAAACACCTGTCCTTAGAATAAGTAATATATGTAGAGTTATCTTTTGTAATAATCTTGTCATAGTTTTCCAGGAAATACATCAAGTATCCACTGCCTGGATGAAGAAAACCACAGGAGAATTCTACCTAGTATGTTTGCTTCCTTCACTTCTAATCACAAGATGCTCTGGTTTTGCTTAGAAATCATTCTTGGATGCCATTCAGGCATTGGCAAAGAGAAGAGAGGAAGAGAGAGTGAAAGAAGAGCTGGCTTGCTACCTGCAATTGGCCAAGAGTCAGACCAAGCCCATCTAATCAGAAGAGCCCATTACTTGTTCATCAACTACTTCAGTGCTATGGGACATGGAAAGGTGAAGCAGCAGGACTCTATGGAGCCACAGGGGCCAGTGTTTCAGCCACTATTTCACTGGCCTAGATATTTCCCTGTTCCTCTTCAATGACTATGAAACTGAGTGTACTTTCCAGTTCCTAGCATCCACTTGTTCCCTTTTCTGAGAGCCCAGGTAAGATGGTAGCATCACCGCACATACACAGTCACAGCTGGCAGCTTGGTTTCTGGACCCATAATCATGCCAGTCAGCACTTCCTACACAAAACCTTTTCAACAACCCTAGAACCAAAGGCCCCACTTGATGCCACCAGATTTCTCTTTCAATTCAAGTCTTACAATTAGGCAGCTTTGTGTTTTTTTTCACATTTATGCATTATGATAGTTATTTAGGCTGTGCACAATAGTCTCCAAGAATATGCTTCCCAATCCAGGCCTTCCTCCTACTCAGCAATGTTGCTAAAAAAAATGCAAAGACATTCAGTGAAGGTCATAAGTAATGCTGGTAGTTAAGGCAACAGGCAACAGTTTCTTTTCCTCCAGCTCACCACTGCAAGAAAACATGATGTAGAAACTTCCATGGAGCCTCACACCCTGCTCTGCCTTTGCAGCCTGGCACTGTCATCCTGATACACTAAAAAACTCAGCATTTTACTCACATAACTGTGCATTATTAGGAATTGTGTGATTGAACCCACATGTAATGAGACGCATACCCCACTCACCTTAATATGGTTTTTTAAAAAGTCTGAGTAAAAGGAAGTGGCCATTTCTGTTGCAACTGTGAAAATAGAAATTTTATTATAACATCTGACATCTATACAATAAATGGGTAAGAACATTTTAGAAATAACTAAAAGCTGTGATCGTCTTTTTTCCCCATACAAAGCTGTTCTCAAAAGCACCAAATACCCAGTAGCTAAAGTAAAAATAAAACTCAAAATTGAGCATAAAATGATAAATCACTAACCTTTGATGGAGGAACGGCACTTAAAGATTTAACACAGGAAGCATCATGGCATTCACACTTCTATGGGGGTAGATCAGAGGGGACAATGGTAGGATTTGTACATGTTTTGCGCTCTAATTAAGAAATGAAGGGTTTTTTTGTTGTTTTGCTTTTGTTTTTTGCAGCAAGGTAGAAGTATAGAAAGTCAAGACAAAGATTGCTAGCAATCTTTAGGGAAAAGCTAACAAAAATTAGGCATTCTTAGGAATATTAAGTAACGCAATCAATATTTTGCAAAATATTGGAGGGTGCAAGTGTCCATAAAAATCAATAGAAAACATTTCTACTAAAAGTGAGCTTTGAGCATATGAAGACACAATGGTAAAGAATTTTCTTTATGTCATTAAAAAGAACCCCCGTATGTGGAATCAATCCATCCCAATACACAAAGACAGGGGTCAAGAACAAGGTGGGGCATACAGAAGAGTATCAGGGATGTCCACGTAAGTTCAGAAAAGATTATTTTCTTCCACATCCAAATTAAAAGTCCTCCTGCTTACCTTGGTAAACCACTGCCTAATTTTCATGGAGTATTGTTCTATTTGTAACACAGTATTGAATTTGCAATCTAAATAAGATTGGCTCAGAACCCGTCCTATCATGTGTGGAAAGTTCCACTGATGTTTTCCAAGATTCCTGTGAATCCACGGACCTTATATTCTCATGTTTGGACCATTCTCACTCTTATTTCCTGCTCTCTCAGTCTCATGCTTATTTTACTTCCTTTGACTTTTTTTTTCTCTATCCCACATAGACTTAAACATGGAACCTAGATCCTTTTTCATGATACCCCAGACATCATTTTCACAATATAGTAAGGCACTATATCCGTGGGTAGCAGTTGAGGTGGGAGAATATGTCACTTTACTGCTTGTTACAGCACATAACTTAAGTCTTCCTAAAATGCTTCTTAGTAATAAGTACCATATTTAATTTCTCATTGGCTGATTTTTATTCTAAAGTCATTTGACCCTATTATTAAGGCTGAACTCCTAAGCTCACTTCTCATATTCCCCTTCTGGATTGCCATTTCATGCCTAGGAAAAAAGTAAAATAGAAAAGCAGAAATGATTACACAATGTTGCTTGTATCCATATGGGTAGCCATGTGGTGCTAGCACAGTCCCCTGGTTTTCATTGTCAGCTACACCTGCTGAAGACGGGGAGATTTGATAGACATGGAGATGGAAATCTTCTCTGTCAGGTGCCCACCAACACTGGCGAAACAAGTGGTCTTTCTGCATCCTTGATCTGTTCTGTCTTGAAAATTTGGCACTGAGACTTCGGAGTAACTATGACCTTTTAAAGTAACTCTTGCTTTTTCTTCTGGAGTAGATTAAAAAAAAATTCAATTCTGGCTATGCTGGTATGCAATATTATGGACTCAAAAGTTACATAAATTACCTTTAAAAATCATTCTAACACCATTGGTCTTCACAAAAGTTTAGTGGGTAGGTCGAGGTAATGTCAAGTGCTTCTAAAGAATATGGAAAGTAGTTTATCCACTGAGAGTGAAATAAGCAAGAAGAAACACAGACAGGAAGATACTAGTCATCTGCTGAAGTGCCAGAGAGATTTTGTAAAACATGAAGCTAAGCAGATTTGGAAATACCCAGGTTTAAGTAAAATGGCTTGAGCAAAAGCCTACAGAAGCAAGAAGACTAGAAAATGCAACTTGAATCCCAATCATTTTATTTTACTCAGTTTGAAGAAAGAGGAAAATCACCACATGGGTTTATACAGGGAGCCAAGGGGTAAGGAAATGATGTCAGTGTAGCTTCAGCATAACCCAGACTAGAGGGTTCTTTGATGGGCAAACTTGGATCTCCAGTTGGCACATTTATGTCTATTGATGGAATGGATTGTAGATTATCCTGTTATGTCTTGATCTACTCCATGATAAAGAAAATCTACTTAATTACATCCCTCTTGCTCCATGGTCATCTGGCAACTTCTTGATCAAAATAACTGAATCCCCATGTAAATTTTCTACCAGTGGTGAGAATGCAATGGTAAGCTGACATAAATTTTTGGTTGGCCTGGGACTTCCACTAAGTTTTCTATGCCTTAGTCTCCGTGTTTTTCTTTTTATCATATTCAGTGGCTAATTATTGGAAGTTTCCACATCTTTAGAGTTAATAACAGTATGCATGAGAATTAATTAATTAATATGTGTAAAGTACTTAGAGCAGTACTAGAAATACACTTCAATTCTAATTACATGTTAAAATTTTCTCAGTGTTATTGTAGATTATCGTGCTAGCAAGAAGTTGAGTTAGATATGAGCTAGTTCTCCAGCTTGATCATCTTTGAGTACAGTGAAAAAGCCAAGGACATAGGAAGTTGCGGACCTGAGGTAATAATCTTTGCAAATTACTTCTACTTTGTGAAACCTGAGCCAAGCAGTCTCCATTCTCCTTCTTATACCTGCTTGTCATCTACATCTTTCCAAAAGAGTTTGGAGTTTGGAATTTGGAGGATGCCATTTTATTTTATTTAAAACAGGTAGGGAGTTTCATTCTTTCTACAGACAGACGATATACAAAGCATGCATGACACTTATAATTTTGCATTTCAAATGAGATAAAAATGAATTGAAGGGGAGGGTCAAGACCTACAGAGCAGGAATCAGCAAAGTGTTTCTGTAAAGAGCCAGTACTAAATGTTTTCAGCTTTTTGAGCCGTACAATTTTCATCACAACTACTCAACACCAAGGTGTAGCATGACAGCAACCACAGCTAACATGTAAACTAATGAGCTTGCACGTTTCAATAAAACTTGATTACATAAGCAGGTTGCAATATGTATTTGACTCATTGGCTATAGTGTGTTGGCCTCTGCTATTGATTAAAGTATACTGATTCCTTCTAAACCCATGATATAATTTAAATTTATAATAATAAAAAAGATAAAGTACAATCAGGAGATATTGTTAACCAATCACAACAGAAATTGAGATTATTGAGAATTTGGCTCAGACAGAAAATACCCTGTAATACCTATATCCGTATCTGCCTATCTATTTATGAATTAGGGAAACGTGAATACTGACTGAATATTTGATATTAAAGAATTTTTGATAATTTTTGGAGTGATAATGGTATTTTGGTTATGTTTTAAAACATGCCGTCTTTCAGAGAAATGTTCTGAAATATTTTCAGATGAAATGATTCAATGCCTGATATTTATTTCAAAAGTATTGAAGGAGAAATGGAGTGGGAATATAGATAAAACAAAATGACTCATGAATTGATCATTGCTGAGATCAGGTGATGAATAAATGGTATTCATTATACCATTCTATCTACTTTTGTATATGTTTAAAATTTTCTATAATTTTTTTGAAATATAAAAATACACAATGAAGAATCTCTCTCTTGCTTGCTCACACACTCTTTTTTTCTCTCATTCACACACACACAGACATAGAAACTCAAATGCAGGCTGATAGCTCAAAGAATGGAGGCAAAGCAAAGTTCAGGACTGAGCTAAAAAGATGGAGTATATAACATAGGATGTTTTGTGTTGACTTCACAATTATTGTCTTAAATAACATAAAATTATAGTTTAATGAGAGGTACAATGGAATATAATTCTGCTAACAGATGAAGATTCTAATTATAGACCTATTAGATGGAGTGCTACTTTCTAATTTAGGGCAAAAGAAATAAATACAAGATAGGAGTAATAGACACAATTTCTTTTGACAGACCTTCAGTGTTGAGATCTAGCCCATGAAAAGACAACCAGCAACACAAGTTGAGTGTGGGTTGTGGGATCTGCATGTAATTACAGTTTACAAAACAAAACTCCAAGCCTTTCCTCGCGGTTTTCCTTTGCCTGCCAAATGTCCCCTCATCAATTTAACCCACGTTCTGATGTCAACTCTAGGCAGAATTTATACTCTCACTGTGCTTTGACCGCTTTTATCAGAAATACCTGGTTGGATTGTAATTTACCCATTTATTATTCTATTATTCCACCCCAATTATGCTCGAAACCCTTTAAAACAAACAGCATCTTCTTCTTGGTGTCCTGAGAAGCCTATGCAGGGCCTGGTTCAGTATCCATCATCAGAAAATGTCTTAAATGACTACATGTTCATTTACAGAAGATAAGCAGCAACAGGCACTGTTGATCCTGTACATATTCATGGGGTTACAACCCATCTTCAGCAGGTTGCATCAGACTTTTCTTTTCTCCTGTCAACTTACACATACTTAGGCCCCATTTAAAATTACCTCTAACATTAATTACTTCCCAAAGATCTGTTACCTCTCCCTCTGCAATAATCTATTGGCATTTGTGTGCACGTGTGAGTGTGTGTATGTGTGTTTGTGTGTGTGTGTGTGTTGATTCTAATATAACAATTTTAGAACACTGCCAGGTAAAGATAAGACTTTTGCCCTTACCGAATTCTGATCTTTGGAGGGTAAGGGCTGTGCCTGGCATCATATCTTATGTAGTATTAATTCTCAATAACTTTGTTCATGTGAATAAATGAATGAATTTGTATTGCTATATCTATACACCTCAAACTTCAAATTGATTTCAAGAGTTTCTCAGTAAATCTTTTAAGCAATTTGTCAAGTCTATTTTCTCCTGCCTGACCTGAAAAAAAGTCCCTTAAGAAGCTTCCCTCTGCTTTTAGATATTTTTACTCTACTTGCCTGTTGGCAGTTAATTTCTTCCTTTCTTGCTATCTCAATAATAATAAAATAATTCTTATGTCTCTTTTCAAATTTCCCATGCTTCCCAATTCTCCTGCTTTTCAAATAACTAAATTCCTTTCAAAATTGCTTCTTGATCTGCTTTTATGAGCATACCTCTGCACTGGCCACCCCTGCCTTAGATAAAGGTAGTCTATTGTGACTCAGTAAATATGTTTATGTTCCTAAAATCAAACATGCTTTATTAATATACCTGCCAAAAGCAGACCTGTAAGAGCAAATTCATTTGGAAAAATAATGTTTTCATTTTCCTAGTGTTAATGAATGCCTTTATTTTTTAAACTTTTCTTTCTAGCGCCTCCACCCTCTCAGTTTACCTCTAGTTTCAGACTTAGTAAAATAGTTTGTTACTTTCCAGTTTAGGATTTATGCCTCTTGAAGGCTGGGGAAGAAAATTCCTAATACCTGGAGTCCAACTCTGTAGTTTTTACCAAGCATAAGGTCAATGCTATTTTCTAAAAAAAAAAAAAAAAAAACAAAACAACAAAAAACACACACACACACAACCAAGAAGAAAAAGAAGGAAAAGAAGAACAAGACAAACACAACAAGCAATTGATAGAGGCAAATTTAGAAAGTTACACTGCCAATAAATTACCTGATAGCCTGGACAGTGAATTACCAATGATTTGCGCTGCCAGTGCTTTATTCCCTGATCTGCACTGTCATAGCACACGACAGTGCAAGTCAGGTTCAAATCACTATGTAATAAAATTTGAGAGCTTCTAGATACTCTTACTTGCACAAATGAGAGATGTGCAAAAGCTTTGGCGGGAAGAATATGACTTCTGAGATTAAATGTGCCTGAGATTCAATGTACTATTAAAATTAGTAGTATAACTTCAACCAATGCTCACTTTAGACTTTAAAGAGTGACTTCTGTAGCATGGTGTTTAGAAGTGAAATGGGGTAATGACAGGTATCTCATGGGGTTATTGTGAAAATCAACTGAGTTAATATAAGTAATACACTTAGAATAGGTCTTGCCTCATAATAAATGTTCAGTAAATGTTTCTGTATAATATAAACATCTGCAGATACACATATTTGGAACATGTGCAGAGGAGATCAGGTAGCTTATTGCCTAAGTTGGCTTCCATATGAGCTGCTGAGAGGGGCCTGCTGCAATCGGTAATAATTGTTACCTGCAGGTCTTGTGATCAAATTATTCCTTCCAAGGCAAGGCTCTGTGTAGTTTACTGTAATTCAGTTGCATGACATTCTCTCCCTAGCCAACTATCGTTCTCAAATTATTCTCATATTGGTTCAGAATAATCCGATTTGACCCTTATTTACTGTTGCCGGGAAGATTAAACTAAAGTCTTTGGCAGCCAAAAATGCAAGAGCTCAGACCAGTAGTCCTGGACAAATCCTTGTCATTCACAGCCGTAGGGAAGATCTGTACCCTGCCCAAGGAACACCTTGGTAGGCACTTGGCCTGTTTCCTTGAATGCTCCGTGACTATGCTGTTAAAGGTCTTGCTCAGAAGGACAGAAGCCGAATGTGCCACCAAAGCTTCTCTCCAAACAAATCCTTGGCAAGATTAGTTTATTGTTGACTTAACCCCCTAAAGTGTGTGCATGTTAGAGTTCTGAAAATTGTAGCTATTAAAATTTGACTTTTTAATCATTAAAACCTGGATGTAATATTCCTAAATGTCTTCAAAGCAAGCATAAAGCCATGGTAGTTAAAGAAAAATGTGGGGTTAGAGGAGTTTTTTGTAAAATCTGGGGAAAATAAAATGCTAGCAACTTTGCAGTTTGATACTTTAGGGAAAGCATTTGAAAAACATGCACACCTGTGAACTCTGAAGCATTCCACACCACACATAATGTTTGATTAATCACCAAAATGATTACACTAAGTGGCATCCACAGTAATTTAAACAGATATATAAATCGTTTGTAATTACAGGATATTGGGCTCTACAATTCATTGCTTAGCAAAGAGGTATTTGTTGTATAATTACTGCATCTTTGTGAGATATTTGCTGTGCATTTATGGTGTAGTTTATACTGAGCTTGCAGGCCACTATCTTTGGTTCCCTCTTGTCTAAACTCAAGCAGTCTTCAATAAAGGGTAAAGCCACAATTACCTTGGCAAATAAATACTCTATAGTACTTGGGAAGATCATGAATGTGGAGACATTTACAATAACAATATTCAAAAGCAAATATAGTTAACACTGGATTTTTCCACACCATTGAAAGGTAGCATTGGTGTGGCTACTAATACAGCTTAAGAACTACGTGCAGTATAACTCAAGTCATGGCCCACAATGGACTCATTTTGTGGATTCCAGGAGCATACTTCTAACGAAGCCTGGTAGCAAGATACTATGCCCAATGTTCACTGGAAAAATACAGATATACCCCCCACATAGATAATAATGCAGAGTTCAGCTTCAGTGAAAAGCTAAAAGGGAAGAATGAAAAAGTTCTTTTTAAAGTCTTTTTCCTATAGTCCATAAATACAACGAATAGATTTAGTCATGCCTGCGAAGCTGGCTGCTATGTAATTTTGTCCAATTGTCCACTTCCACTAAGTAGAGAGCAAAAAATAAGTTCTATGTGAAAGAGAGAAAGAGAGAGGGGAGGCGGGAGAGATACAACAAAAGAGAATTTAGATCAAACATAAGGACAGCTTCAAATAAGTGTTTGAGGGTTTTGTTTTGTCTTGAAATCCTGAACGACAATAACTGAGATGCACACACAAATGATCCATCACAGAAAAAAAATACAGTTAAGTAAAAGATTTACATCTGACTGGACACTTCGAGATTTCTGGACTTCCATAATAATGGCAGTCCTATAGATGAAGACCATAAATGTGTGGAAAAGTGCTGAGCTTTAGCTAGCACAGTTGGCATGAACCAATTTGGGACTATCTGGCACTGTCTCTGGAGGTAGTAAAAACAATGAGCAGCTAACATCTTCAATATATGAGAATGAATGAGACATTCAAAATCATGCACATACTCAAAGCTTGTGCATTGATCACAAGTACCTTGAGGAAATTAGGACACTCAATTAAAAAAAAATAAATATCTAGATGTTAGTAAGAGAAGAATGCAGTTAAAAGGAGTGAATAACATATACTGAATGCTTTAAGACAAGAAATACAAAGATATCTGGACAAACTTCTCTTACATTGAGAAATTCAGTTTGTCTGTTTATGTCAGGATATATTTGGACATATTAAAATAATGTCATACTAAGCATTCAGAGTCCTATTGTTTTAGTTAGGTACATGTAAAAAAACGATAAATAGAAAAATGTTACTGCTTTCTTCAAGCTCTATGAAATTATTCACAAATAACCAAAATTTGGTGTTTTTTTGTTACCAGAAAGAAAATATTAAACTGTGTCTGCAGAAATTTTAGTAAATTTAAAAATGTATAATGAATGAAGTTCATGATAAATAAGCACAGAAAAACCATTAAAGTGTTGGAAATAATACGCTTTACAAGTTTCTAGGCATCTCTTTTATGATCTCTTCATCTCAGCTCTTATAATATCCAAAGTCCAGCTTGAGCATGATGAAGGGTTATTGTAGAGTTGTTTTAAGACTGAGAGTATGAATTTAAAGACATTATCTACAGTTACTTAAGGACATATACAGACAGAGAGATACATATTTAGATATACAGATAGCAACTGCATGCTTGAATGATTTCTTAAAACACCTCAACTTCGAATATACTTTCTCATTGTTTAAAGTAAACATCTATATTTCTCATAATTTCCATTATTTCAGCTGTTAATCTATATTTTATACTTAAAGTATTAAAATGTTTTCAGTTGACATTTTAAATTTACAATATCAACTATATTTTATAACTACATTAAAAATTTTTGAACCCATTTTTAAATTCAAAAAAGATTTGAAAACTTACATTATCATTATTTTTCTCCTCATTCCTATTTTCAACTTCACCTTACCCATGACTATAGCAGTTAATGTTTCTCGCTTTCCCTTTGCATAAATACCACACTCTCAGGAGGCCCTCCTTGACCACTCTCTTAATAATTGCAAACCTTTTCTTGATTATTACCCCTGTACTCTGTGTGCCTGTTTCCATGCCTACTTATCACCAGCTGATTATTTTATACACTTTACCCGTTTGTTTGTTATCTACCTCCCCCTTGCAAAAATGCAAGTTCCAGAAGTGGTTAGAAGTGTTTTGTATTTTATTCACCTCTAAATCCTCAGCATTTAGGAGATTCCATGGTATATAATTAGTTTCCAGTAAGTATTTGTAGAATAAATGGGTTCATTCTCATAATTTCAATTGCCATTTTTGCATTATTTCCAAATTTTTTTCACTAGCCTAAAGATCTCTTTCCCAGGTTTAAAATCCATATATTCAATTGCCTGCTTGAATTACCCCCAAACATCTCAAACTCAGTGTACTCAAGACTGAATTCATTATCTTGCCTTCTAACATCTTCACATCACCTACTTTACCTCCTATAATCTCATATAATCTCCTCTGTGGTGAATATCAAGCATCCATCCAGACACCAAGTGAAACATTTTGAAGTTATGCCACAAATTCTTGTTATAAGACTTTTACCTACTCTTGCATTAGTCCTCTCCCTTCTCTAATGTGCCTTACTGTCCTTGTTGAGATTACCTTGTTCAGAGGAGTACAGTAGCCTGTTTTCTTTTTTTTTCTTTCTTTTTTTTTTTTTTTTTTTTGAGACAGAGTTTTGCTCTGTTGCCCAGGCTGGAGTGCAGTGGCACAATCTCTGCTCACTGCAACTTCCGCCTCCTGGTTTCAAGAGATTCTCCTGCCTCAGCCTCCCGAGTAACTGGGATTACAGGTGCCCGCTACCAGGCCTGGCTAATTTTTGTATTTTTAGTAGAAATAGAGTTTCACCATGTTGGCCAAGCTGGTCTCAAACTCCCAACCTCAGGTGATTCACCTGCCTCAGTCTCCCAAATTGCTGGGATTACAGGCATGAGCCACCGTGCCTGGCCCTACAATAGCCTCTTAATTGGTCTCCCTGTGATATTGTTTGGCTGTGTCCTCCCCCAAATCTAATCTTGAATTGTAGTTCCCATAATCCCCACATGTAGTGACAGGGACCCAGCGGGAGGTAATTGAATCATGGGGGCAGTTACTTCTATGCTGTTCTCATGAGAGTGAGTGAGTTCTCAGGAGATTGGATGGTTTTATCAGGGGTTTTCCACCTCCACCCCTTTGCTGTGCACTTATCCTTCCTGCTGTCATGTAAAGACAAGTTTACTTCCTCTTCTGCCATGATTATAAATTTCTGTGTCCTCCACAGGCATGCGGAATGGTGAGTCAATTAAACTTCTTTCCCTTGTAAATTACCCAGTTTCAGGTAGTCCATACAGCAGTGTCAGAATGGAATAATACAGAAAATTGGTACCACAGAGAGTGGGATGCTGCGATACCTGAAAATGTGGAAGTCACTTTGGAACTGGGTAACAGACAGAGGTTGGAACAGTCTGGAGGGCTCAGAAGAAGATAGAAAAATTTAAGAAAGTTTAGAACTTCCTAGAGACTTGTTGAATTGCTTTGACCAAAATGTTGATAATGATATGGACAATGAAGTCTGGGCTGAGTTGGTCTCAGATAGAGATGGGGAACTTGTTGGGAACTGGAGTAAAGATCACTTTTGCTATGCAAAGAGACTGGTAGCATTTTCCTTTGCCCCAGAGATTTGTGGAACTTTGAACTTGAGAGACCTGATCTAGGGTATCTGGCAGAAGAAATTTCTAAGCAGCAAAGCATTCAAGAGGAAGCAAAGCATAAAAGTTAGAAAAATTTGCAGCCTGACAATGTGATAGAAAAGAAAACCCCATTTTCCGGGGAGAAATTCAAGCAGTCTGAATAAATCTGCGTAGGTAACAATGAGCTGAAGATTAATCATCAAGACAATGGGGAAAATATCTCCAGGACATGTCAGAGACCTTTACTGCAGCCCCTCCTGTCACAGACCCAGAGGCCTAGACGGGAAAAATGATTTTTTCCCTCCTGCTGTGTGCAGCCTTAAGACTTGGCTAAAAGAGGCCAACATACAGCTCAGGCCATTGCTTGAGAGGGTGCAAGTCCCAGGCCTTGGTAGTTCCCATGTGATGTTGGGCCTGCGAGTGCACAGATGTCAAGAATTGAGGTTTGGGGACCTCTGCCTAGATTTCAGAGGATGTATGAAAACACCTGGATGTCCAGGCAGAAGTTTGCTGCAGGGGCAGAGCCCTCATGGAGAACCTCTGCTAGGGCAGTGCAGAACAGAAATGTAGTGCTGGGGTGTCCACACAGAGTCCCCACCAGGGCAATGTCTAGTGGAGCTGTGAGAAGAGGACCACCAGCCTCCAGACCCCAGAATGGTAGCTCCACTGACAACTTGCACCATGCACATGGAAAAGCTGCAGACACTCAACACCAGCTGTGAAGGCAGCCGGGAGGGAAGCTATATCCTGCAAAGCCACAGAGGTGGAGCTGCCCAAGGCCATGGGAGCCCATCTCTTGCATCAGTGTGACCAGGATTTGAGGTATGGAGTCAGAGGAGATCATTTTGGAAGTTTAAGGTTTAATTACAGTTTTATTGGATTTCTGACTTGCATGGAACGTGTCGCCCCTTTGTTTTGGTCAATTTCTCCCATTTG